>NC_000018.10:20687521-20696289 GCF_000001405.40 Homo sapiens | reverse complement strand
TCTGTCTAGATTTTACCTGAAGATATTCCGGTTTACAATGAAATCCTTAAAGCTCTCCAAATATCCACTTGCAGATTCTCCAAAAAGAGTCTTTCAAAACTACTCTGTAAATAGAAAGGTTCAACTCTGTTAGTTGAGGAAATACATCACAAACTAGTTTTTGAGAATGCTTCTGTCTAGTTTTCATTGGAAGATATTTCCTTTTGCACCGTAAGCCTCAAAGCGCTCCAAGTGTCCACATCCAGGTACTACAGAAAGAGTGTTTCAAACCTGCTCTATGAAAGGAAATATTCAACTCTGTGACGTGAATACAGACATCACAAAGCAGTTTCTGAGAATGTTTCTTTCTAGGTTTTATATGAAGATACTCCCGTTTCCAAGGAAATCCACAAAGCTATCCAAATATCCACTTGCAGATTCTACAAAAAGCGTGTTTCCAAACTGCTCTGTCAAACGAAATGTTCAACTCTGTGAGTTGAGGACACACATCACAAACAAGTTTCTGCGAATGCTTCTGTCTAGTTTTTATCGGAAGATATTTCCTTTTTCACGATAGTTCGGAAAGCACTCGAAATGTCCACTTCCAGATACTACAGAAAGAGTGTTTCAAAACTGCTCTATGAAAGGGAATGTTCAACTCTGTGACTTAAAAGCAAACATCACAAAGAAGCTTCTGAGAATGCTGCTGTCCACTTTGTATATGTAATCCCGTTTCCTACGAAATCCTCAAAGCTATCCAAATATCCTCCTGCAGATTCCACGAAAAGACGGTTTCAAACCTGCTCTAAGAAAGGGAATATTCAACTCTGTGACTTGAATGCAGATATCACAAAGTAGTTTCTGAGAGTGCTTCTGTCTAGATTTTATATGAAGATATTCCCGTTACCAACAAAATAGTTAGAGCTCTCCAAATATCCAGTTGCATATTCTACAAAAAGAGTGTTTCCAAACTGCTGTATCATAAGAGAGGTTGAACTCTGTTAGTTGAGGACACACATCACAAAGAAGTTTCTGAGAATGCTTCTGTCTAGTTTGCATGGGAAGGTATTTACTTTTTCAACATAGGCATGAAATCAGTCGAAATGTCCCCTTCCACATGCTACAGAAAGTGTGTTTCAAACCTGCTCTATGAAAGGGAATATTCCACTCAGTGACTTAAAAGCAAATATCACAAAGAAGCTCCTGAGAATGCTGATGTCTACTTTTTATATTTATTCCCGTCTCCCATGAAATCCTCAGAGCTATCCTAATATCCATTTGCAGATTCCACAAAAGGAGCTTTTCAAAACTGATCTATAAAGAGAAAGGTTCAACTCTGTGAGTTGAGTACATATATCCCAAAGAAGTTTCTTAGAATGCTTCTGTCTAGTTTTTATGGGAAGACATTTCCTTTTTCACCAATGGCGTCAAAGCGCTCCAAATGTCCACTTCCAGATACTACAAAAAGAGTGGTTCAAACCTGCTCTCAGAAAGGGAATGTTCAACACTGTGACTTGAATGCAGATATCACAAAGCAGTTTCTGAGAGTGCCTCTGTCTAGATTTTATATGAAGGTATTCCCGTTTCCTACGAAATCTTTAGAGCTATCCAAATATCCACTTGCAGATTGTACAAAAAGAGTGTTTCCAAACTGCTGTATCAAAAGCCAGGTAGTACTTTGTTAGTTGAGGACACACATCACAAAGAGGTTTCTGAGAATGCCTCTGTCTAGATTTTACCTGAAGATATTCGGGTTTCCAGTGAAATCCTTAAAGCTCTCGAAATATCCACTTGCAGATTCTCCAAAAAGAGTCTTTCAAAACTGCTCTGTAAATAGAAAAGTTCAACTCTGTTAGATGAGGACATACATCACAAACCAGTTTGTGAGAATGCTTCTGTCTAGTTTTTATGGGAAGATATTTCCTTTTTCACTGTAAGCGTCAAAGCGCTCCAAGTGTCCACATCCAGATACTACAGAAAGAGTGTATCAAACCTGCTCTATGAAGGGGAATATTCAACTCTGTAACGTGAATGCAGACATCACAAAGCAGTTTCTGAGAATGTTTCTGTCTAGGTTTTATATGGAGATTCTCCCGTTTCCAACGAAATCCACAAAGCTATCCAAATATCCACTTGCAGATTCTACAAAAAGCGTGTTTCCAAGCTGCTCTGTCAAACGAAATGTTCTATTCTGTGAGTTGAGGACACGCATCACAAACAAGTTTCTGCAAATGCTTGTGTCTGGTTTTTATGGGAAGATATTTCCTTGTTCACCATAGGCCTGAAAACACTCGAAATGTCCACTTCCAGATACTACAGAAAGAGTGTCTGAAACCTGCTCTACGAAAGGGAATGTTCAACTCTGTGACTTAAAAGCAAGCATCACAAAGAAGCTTCTGAGTATGCTACTGTCTAGTTTTTATGGGAAGATATTTCGTTTTTCAACATAGGCCTGAAATCGCTCGAAATGTCCACTTCCAGATACTATAGAAAGAGTGTTTCTAAACTGCTCTATGGAAGGGAATGTTCAACTCTGTGACTTAAAAGCAAACATCACAAAGAAGTTTCTGAGAATGCTGCTGTCTACATTTTGTTTGTAATCCCGTTTCCAACGAAATCCTGAAAGCTATCCAAATATCCACTTGCAGATTCCACAAAAAGAGCATTAAAAAGCTGATCTATAAAGAGCAAGGTTCAACTCGGTTAGTTGAGTACATATATCACAAAGATGTTTCTTAGAATGCTTCTTTCTAGTTTTTATGTGAAGACATTTCCTTTATCACCAAAGGCGTCAAAGCGCTCCAAATGTCCACTTCCAGATCCTGCAAAAAGAGTGTTTCAAACCTGCTCTAAGAAAGGGAATGTTGAACTGTGTGACTTGAATGCAGATATCACAAAGCAGTTTCTGAGAGTGCCTCTGTCTAGATTTTATATGAAGGTATTCCCGTTTCCAAAGAAATCATTAGAGCTATGCAAATATCCACTGGCAGATTCTACAAAAAGAGTGTTTCCAAACTGCTGTATCAAAAGACAGGATGTACCGCCGTTAGTTGAGGACACACATCACAAAGAAGTTTCTGAGAATGCCTCTGTCTAGATTTTATATGAAGATATTCCCGTTTCCAATGAATTCCTTAAAGCTCTCCAAATATCCACTTGAAGATTCTCCAAAAACAGTCTTTCAAAACTGCTCTGCAAATAAAATGTTTCAACTCTGTTAGTTGAGGACAAACATCACAATCCAGTTTGTGAGAATGCTTCTGTCTAGTTTTTATGGGAAGATATTTCTTTTGCACCTTAAGCGTCAAAGCGCTCCAAGTGTCCACATCCAGATAGTACAGAAAGAGTGTTTCAAACCTGCTCTATGAAAGGGAATGATCAACTCTGTGACGTGAATGCAGACATCATATAGCAGTTTCTGAGAATGTTTCTGTCTAGGTTTTATATGAAGATACTCCCGTTTCCAAGGAAATCCACAAAGTTATCCAAATATCCACTTGCAGATTCTACAAAAAGCGTGTTTCCAAACTGCTCTGTCAAATGAAATGTTCAACTCTGATAGTTGAGGATACATATCACAAACAAGTTTCTGCGAATGCTTCTGTCTAGTTTTTATCGGAAGATATTTCCTTTTTCACCATAGGCCTGAAAGCACTCGAAATGTCCACTTCCAGATACTACAGAAAGAGTGTTTCAAAACTGCTCTATGAAAGGGAATGTTG
Organism: Homo sapiens; assembly: GCF_000001405.40. Classification (NCBI taxonomy): domain Eukaryota; kingdom Metazoa; phylum Chordata; class Mammalia; order Primates; family Hominidae; genus Homo; species Homo sapiens. The sequence continues at coordinate 20,692,588 of NC_000018.10, read as the reverse complement.
AACACTGTGACTTAAAAGCAAACATCACAAAGAAGCTTCTGAGAATGCTGCTTTCTATTTTTATATTTAATCCCTTTTCCAACGAAATCCTCAAAGCTATCCAAATATCCTCCTGCAGATTCCACGAAAAGACGGTTTCAAACCTGCTCTAAGAAAGGGAATATTCAACTCTGTGACTTGAATGCAGATATCAGAAAGTAGTTTCTGAGAGTGCTTGTGTCTAGATTTTATATGAAGATATTCCCGTTTCCAACGAAATAGTTAGAGCTATCCAAATATCCACTTGCATATTCTACAAAAGGAGTGTTTCCAAACTGCTGTATCATAAGACAGTTTGAACTCTGTTAGTTGAGGACACACATCACAAAGAAATTTCTGAGAATGCTTCTGTCTAGTTTTTATGGGATGATATTTCCTTTTTCAACATAGGACTGAAATCGCCCGAAATGTCCACTTCCGGATACTACAGAAAGAGTGTTTCAATCCTGCTCTATGGAAGGGAATATTCAACTCTGTGACTTAAAAGCAACCATCACAAAGAAGCTTCTGAGAATGCTGCTGTCTATATTTTATATGAAATCCCGTTTCCAAGGAAATCCTCAGAGCTATCCGAATATCCACTTGCAGATTACAGAAAAAGAGCTTCTCAAAACTGACCCAGAAATAGAAAGGTTCAACTCTGTTAGTTGAGTACATATATCCCAAAGAAGTTTCTTAGAATGCTTCTGTCTAGTTTTTATGGGAAGACATTTCCTTTTTCACCAAAGGGGTCGAAGCGGTCTAAGTGTCCACTTACACATACTACAAAAAGAGTGTTTCAAACCTTCTCTAAGAAAGGGAATGTTCAACTCTGTGACTTGAAAGCAGATAGCTCAAAGCACTTTCGGAGAGTGCCCTCTCTAGATTTTATATGAAGGTATTCCCATTTCCAACGAAATCGTTACAGCTATCGAAATATCCACTTGCAGATTCTACAAAAAGAGTGTTTCCAAACTGCTGTATCAAAAGATAGGTTGTACTCTGTTAGTTGAGGACACACATCATAAATAAGTTTCTGAGAATGCCTCTGGCTAGATTTTACCTGAAGATATTACGGTTTAAAATGAAATCCTTGAAGCTCTCCAAATATCCGCTTACAGATTCTCCAAAAAGAGTCTTTCAAAACTGCTCTGTAAATAGAAAGGTTCAACGCTGTTAGTTGAGGACATACATCACAAACCAGTTTGTGAGAATGCTTCTGTCTAGTTTTTATGGGAAGATATTTCCTTTTTCACCGTAAGCGTCAAAGCGCTCCAAGTGTCCACATCCAGATACTACAGAAAGAGTCTTTCAAACCTGCTCTATGAAAGGGAATGTTCAACTCTGTGACGTGAATGGAGATATCACAAAGCAGTTTCTGAGAATGTTTCTGTCTAATTTTTATATGAGGATACTTCCGTTTCCAACGAAATCCACAAAGCTATCCAAATATCCACATGCAAATTCTACAAAAAGCGTGTTTCCAAACTGCTCTGTGAAACGAAGTGTTCCACTCTGTGAGTTGAGGGCACACATCACAAACAATTTTCTGCTAATGCTTCTGTCTAGTTTTTATGGGACGATATTTCCTTGTTCACCATAGGCCTGAAAGCGCTCGAAATGTCCACTTCCAGATAGTAGAGAAAGAGGGTTTCAAACCTGCTCTATGGAATGGAATATTCAACTCTGTGACTTAAAAGCAAACATCACAAAGAAGCTTCTGAGAATGCTGCTGTCTACTTTTTATATGCAATCCCGTCTCCAACGAAATCCTCAGAACTATCCTTATATCCAATTGCAGATTCCACAAAAAGAGCTTTTCGAAACTGATCTATCAATAGAAAGGTTCAACTCTGTTAGGTGAGTACATATATCGCCAAGAAGTTTCTTAGAATGCTTCTGTCTAGTTTTTATGGGAAAACATTTCCTTTTTCACCAAAGGCGTCAAAGCGCTAAAAATGTCCACTTCCAGATACTACAAAGTGTCTCAAACCTGCTCTAAGAAAGGGAATGTTCAACTCTGTGACTTGAGTGCAGATATCACAAAGCAGTTTCTGAGAGTGCCTCTGTCTAGATTTTATATGAAGTTATTCTCGTTTCCTATGAAATGGTTAGAGCTATCCAAATATCCACATGCAGATTCTACAAAAAGAGTGTTTACAAACTGCTGTATCAAAAGAAAGGTTGAACCCTGTTAGTTGAGGACACACATCACAAAGAAATTTTTGAGAATGCTTCCGTCTAATTTTTATTGGAAGATATTTCCTTTTTCAACCTAGGCCTGAAATCGCTCGAAATGTCCACTTCCAGATACTACAGAAAGAGTGTCTCAAACCTGCTCTATGGAAGGGAATATTGAACTCTGCGATTTAAAAGCAAACATCACAAAGAAGCTTCTGAGAATGCTGCTGTCTACTTTTTATACGTAATCCCGTCTCCAACGAAATCCTCAGTGCTATCCTAATATCCACATGCGGATTCCACAAAAAGAGCTTTTCAAAACTGATCTATAAATAGAAAGGTTCAACTGTGTTAGTTGAGTACATATATCCCAAAGAAGTTCCTTAGAATGCTTCTGTCTAGTTTTTATGGGAAGACCTTTCCTTTTTCACCAGAGGCGTCAAAGCGCTCCAAATGTCCACTTCCAGATACTACAAAAAGGGTGTTTCAAACCTGCTCTAAGAAAGGGAATGTTCAACTCTGTGACTTGAATGCAGATATCACAAAGCAGTTTCTGAGAGTGCCTCTGCTAAATTTTATATGAAGGTATTCCGGTTTCCAACGAAACCGTTAGAGCTATCGAAATATCCTCTTGGAGTTTCTACAAAAAGAGTGTTTCGAAACTGCTGTATCAGAAGACAAGTTGTACTCTGTTAGTTGAGGACACACATCACAAAGAAGTTTCTGAGAATGCCTCTGTCTAGATTTTTCCTCAAGATATTCCGGTTTCCAGTGAAATCCTTAAAGCTCTCCAAATATCCACTTGCAGAGTCTCCAAAAAGTGTCTTTCAAAACTGCTCTGTAAATAGAAAGGTTCAAGTCTGTTAGTTGAGGACATACATCACAAACCAGTTTGTGAGAATGCTTCTGTCTAGTTTTCATGGGAACATATTTCCTTTTTCACCGTAAGCGTCAAAGCCCTCCAAGTGTCCACATCCAGATACTACAGAAAGGGAGTTTCAAACCTGCTCTATGAAAGGGAATGTTCAACTCCGTGACGTGAATGCAGACATCACAAAGCAGTTTCTGAGAATGTTTCTGTCTAGGTTTAATAGGAAGATACTCCCGTTTCAAGCAAAATCCGCAAAGCTATCCAAATATCCACTTGCAGATTCTACAAAAAGCGTGTTTCCAAACTGCTCTGTCAAACGAAATGTTCGACTCTGTGAGTTGAGGACACACATCACAAAGAAGTTTCTGCGAATGCTTCTATCTAGTTTTTATGGGAAGATATTTCCTTGTTCACCATAGGCCTGAAAGCGCTCGAAATGTCCACTTCCAGATACTACAGGAAGAGTGTTTCAAACCTGCTCTATGAAAGAGAATGTTCAACTCTGTGACTTACAAGCAAACATCACAAAGAAGCTTCTGAGAATGCTTCTGTCTAGTTTTTATGGGAAGACATTTCCTTTTTCACCAAAGGCGTCAAAGCGCTCCAAATGTCCACTTCCAGATTCTACAAAATGAGTTTTCAAACCTGCTCTAAGAAAGGGAATGTTCAACTCTGTGACTTGAATGCAGATATCACAAAGTAGTTTCTGAGAGTGCTTCTGTGTATACTTTAGATGAAGATATTCCCGTTTCCAACGATATCGTTAGACCTATCCAAATATCCACTTACAGTTTCTACAAAAAGAGTGTTTCCAAACTGCTGCATCAAAAGAAAGGTTCAACTCTGTTAGTTGAGGACAGACATCAGAAAGAAGTTTCTGAGAATGCTTCTGTATAGTTTTTATGAGAAGATATTTAATTTTTCAACATAGGCCTGAAAGCGCTCGAAATGTCCACTTCCAGATACTACAGAAAGATTGTTTCAAACCTGCTCTATGGAAGGGAAAATTCAACTCTGTGACTTAAAAGCAAACATCACAAAGACGCTTCTGAGAATGCTGCTGTCTACTTTATATATGTAATCCAGTCTCCAACGAAATCCTCAGAGCTATCCGAATATCCACTTGCAGATTCCATAAAAAGAGCTTTTGAAAACTGATCTATAAATAGAATGATTCAACTCCGTTAGTTGAGTACATATATCCCAAAGAAGTTTCTGAGAATGCTTCTGTCTAGTTTTTATGTGAAGACATATCCTTTTTCAGCAATGGCGTCGAAGCGCACGAAACGTCCACTTCCAGATACTACAGAAAGAGTGTTTCAAACCTGCTCTATGAATGCGAATGTTCAACTCTGTGACTTAAAAGCAAACATCACAAAGAAGCCTCTGAGAATGCTGCTGTCTACTTTGTATATGTAATCCCGTTTCCAACGAAATCCTCAAAGCTATCCAAATATCCTCCTGCAGATTCCAAGAAAAGACTGTTTCAAACCTGCTCTGAGAAAGGGAATATTCAACTCTGTGACTTGAATGCAGATATCACGAAGTAGTTCCTGAGAGTGCTTCTGTCTAGATTTTATATGAAGATATCCCCGTTTCCAACGAAATACTTAGAGCTATCCAAATATCCCCTTGCATATTCTACCAAAAGAGTGTTTCCAAACTGCTGTATCATAAGAGAGGTTGAACTCTGTTAGTTGAGGACACACATCACAAAGAAGTTTCTGAGAATGCTCTTGCATCCCAGGGATGAAGCCCACTTGATCATGGTGGATAAGTTTTTTGATGTGCTGCTGGATTTCGGTTTGCCAGCATTTTATTGAGGACAGTCTAGTTTTTATGGGAAGATATTTCCTTTTTCCCACATAGGCCTGAAATCGCTCGAAATGTCCTCTTCCAAAATACTACAGAAAGAGAGTTTCAAACCTGCCTATGGAAGGGAATATTCAACTCTGTGACTTAAAAGGAAACATCACAAAGAAGCTCCTGAGAATGCT
>NC_000018.10:20652527-20687421 GCF_000001405.40 Homo sapiens | reverse complement strand
GCTGTCTACTTTTTATATGTAATCCCGTCTCCAACGAAATCCTCAGAGCTATCCGAATATCCACTTGTAGATTGCATAAAAAGAGCTTTTGAAAACTGATCTATAAATAGAATGATTCAACTCCGTTAGTTGAGTACATATATCCCAAAGAAGTTTCATAGAATGCTTTTGTCTAGTTTTTATGTGAAGACATTTCCTTTATCACCAAAGGCGTCAAAGCGCTCCAAATGTCCACTTCCAGATACTACAAAAAGAGTGTTTCAAACCTGCTCTAAGAAAGGGAATGTTCAACTCTGTGAGTTGAATGCAGATATCACAAAGCAGTTTCCGACAGTGCCTCTGTCTAGATTTTATATGAAGGTATTCCCTTATCCAACGAAATCGTTAGAGCTATCCAAAGATCCAATTGCAGATTCTACAGAAAGAGTGTTTCAATACTGCTGTATCAAAAGACAGGTTGTACTCTGTTAGTTGAGGACCTACATCACAAACCAGTTTGTGAGAATGCTTCTATCTAGTTTTTATGGGAAGATATTTCCTTTTTCACCGTAAGCGTCAAAGCGCTCCAAGTGTCCACATCCAGATACTACAGAAAGAGTGTTTCAAACCTGCTCTATGAAAGGGAATGTTCAACTCTGTGACGTGAATGCAGATATCACGAAGCAGTTTGTGAGAATGTTTCTGTCTATGTTTTATATGGAGATACTCCCATTTCCAAAGAAATCCACAAAGCTATCCAAATATCTACTTGCAGATTCTACAAAAAGCGTGTTTCCAAACTGCTGTGTCAAACGAAATGTTCAACCCTGTGAGTTGAGGACACACATCACAAACAAGTTTCTGCGAATGCTTCTGTCTAGTTTTTATGGGAAGATATTTCCTTTTTCACCATAGGCCTGAAAGCGCTCGAAATGTCCTCTTCCAGATACTACCGAAAGAGTGTTTCAAACCTGCTCTATGTAAGGGAATGTTCAACACTGTGACTTAAAAGGAAACAGCACAAAGCAGCTTCTTAGAATGCTGCTGTCTACTTTCTATATGTAATCCCGTTTCCAACGAAATCCTCAAGGTTATCCAAATATCCTCCCGCAGATTCCACGAAGAGACGGCTTCAAACCTGCTCTAAGAAAGGGAATATTCAACTCTGTGACTTGAATACAGATATCACAAAGTAGTTTCTGAGAGTGCTTCTGTCTAGAGTTTATATGAAGATATTCCCGTTTCCAACGAAATGGCTACAGCTATCCAAATATCCACTTGCAGATTCTACAGAAAGAGTGTTTCCAAGCTGCTGTATCAAAAGACAGGTTGTACTCTGTTACTTTAGGACACACATCACAAAGAAGTTTCTGAGAAAGCCTCTGTCTAGATTTTACCTGAAGATATTCCGGTTTCCAATGAAATCCTTAAAGCTCTCCAAATATCCACTTGCAGATTCTCCAAAAAGAGTCTTTCAAAACTGCTCTGTAAATAGAAATATTCAACTCTGTTATTTGAGGACATACATCACAAACCAGTTTGTGAGAATGCTTCTGTCTAGTTTTTATGGGAAGATATTTCCTTTTTCACCGTAAGCGTCAAAGCGCTCCAAGTGTCCACATCCAGATACTACAGAAAGAGTCTTTCAAACCTGCTCTATGAAAGGGAATGTTCAACTCTGTGACGTGAATGGAGATATCACAAAGCAGTTTCTGAGAATGTTTCCGTCTAGGTTTTATATGAAGATACTCCCGTTCCCAAGGAAAATCCACAAAGCTATCCAAATATCCACTTGCAGATTCTACAAAAAGCGTGTTTCCAAACTGCTCTGTCACAGGAAATGTTCAACTCTGTTGGTTGAGGACACACATCACAAACAAGTTTCTGCGAATGCTTCTGTCTAGTTTTTATGGGAAGATATTTCCTTTTTCACCATGAGCCTGAAAGCGCTCGAAACGTCCACTTCCAGATACTACAGAAAGAGTGTTTCAAACCTGCTCTATGAATGCGAATGTTCAACTCTGTGACTTAAAAGCAAACATCACAAAGAAGCTTCTGAGAATGCTGCTGTCGAGTTTGTACATGTAATCCCGTTTCCAACGAAATCCTCAAAGCTATCCAAATATCCTCCTGCAGATTCCAAGAAAAGACGGTTTCAAACCTACTCTGAGAAAGGGAATATTCAAATCTGTGACTTGAATGGAGATATCACAAATTAGTTCCTGAGAGTGCTTCTGTCTAGATTTTATATGAAGATATTCCCGTTTCCAACGAAATACTTAGAGCTATCCAAATATCCCCTTGCATACTCTACAAAAAGAGTGTTTCCAAACTGCTGTATTATAAGAGAGGTTGAACTCTGTTCGTTGAGGACACACATCAAAAAGTAGTTTCTGAGAATGCTTCTGTCTAGTTTTTATGGGAAGATGTTTCGTTTTTCAACATAGGCCTGAAAGCGCTCGAAATGTCCACTTCCAGATACTACAGAAAGAGTGTTTCAAACCTGCTCTACGGAAGAGAATATTCAACTCTGTGACTTAAAAGCAAACATCACAAAGAAGCTTCTGAGAATGCTGCTGTCTACTTTTATACGTAATCCTGTCTCCAACGAAATCCTCAGAGTTATCCGAATATCCACTTGCAGATTCCATAAAAAAAGCGTTTGAAAACTGATCTATAAATAGAATGATTCAACTCCGTTAGTTGTGTACATATATCCGAAAGAATTTTCTTAGAATGCTTCTGTCTAGTTTTTATGTGAAGACATTTCCTTTTTCACAAAAGGCGTCAAAGCGCTCCAAATGTCCACTTCCAGATACTACAAAAAGAGTGTTTCAAACCTGCCCGAAGAAAGGGAATGTTCAACTCTGTGACTTGAATGCAGATATCACAAAGCAGTTTCTGAGAGTGGCTCTGTCTAGATTTCATATGAAGGTATTCTCGTATCCATCGAAATCGCTAGAGCTATCCAAATATCCTCTTGCAGATTCTACAAAAAGAGTGTTTCCAAACTGATGTATCAAAAGACAGGTTGTACTCTGTTAGTTGAGGACGCACATCACGAAGAAGTTTCCGAGAATGCCTCTGTCTAGATTTTACCTGAAGATATTCCGGTTTGCAGTGAAATCCTTAAAGATCTCCAGATATCCACTTGCAGATTCTCCAAAAAGAGTCTTTGAAAACTGCTCTGTAAATAGAAAGGTTCAACTCTGTTAGTTGAGGACATACATCACAAACCAGTTTGTGAGAATGCTTCTGTCTAGTTTTCATGGGAAGTTATTCCTTTTTTCACCGTAAGCGTCAAAGCGCTCCAAGTGTCCACATCCTGATACTTCAGAAAGAGTGTTTCAAACCTGCTCTATGAAAGGGAATGTTCAACTCTGTGACGTGAATGCAGACATTACAAAGGAGTTTCGGAGAATATTTCCGTCTAGGTTTTATATGAAGATACTCCCGTTCCCAAGGAAATCCACAAAGCTATCCAAATATCCACTTGCAGATTCTACAAAAAGCGTGTTTCCAAACTGCTCTGTCACAGGAAATGTTCAACTCCGTTGGTTGAGGACACACATCACAAACAAGTTTCTGCGAATGCTTCTTTCTAGTTTTTATGGGGAGATATTTCCTTTTTCACCATGGGCCTGAAAGCGCTCGAAATGTCCACTTCCAGATACTACAGAAAGAGTGTTTCAAACCTGCTGTATGAAAGGGAATGTTCAACTCTGTGACTTAGAAGCAAACATCACAAAGAAGCTTCTGAGAATGTTGCTGTCTACTTTGTATATGTAATCCCGTTTCCAACGAAATCCTCAAAGCTATCCAAATATCCTCCTGCAGCTTCCACGAAAAGACGGTTTCAAACCTGCTCTAAGAAAGGGAATATTCAACTCTGTGATTTGAATACTGATATCACAATGTAGTTTCTGAGAGTGCTTCTGTCTAGATTTTATATGAAGATATTCCCATTTCGAACGAAATAGTTAGAGCTGTTCAAATATCCACTTGCATATTCTACAAAAAGTGTTTTTTCAAACTGCTGTATTATAAGAGAGGTTGAACTCTGTTAGTTGAGGACACACATCACAAAGAAGTTTCTGAGAATGCTTCTGTATTGCTTTTATGGGAAGATATTTCCTTTTTCAACATAGGCCTGAAATCGCTCGAAATGTCCACTTCCAGATACTACAAAAAAAGGGTTTCAAACCGGCTCTATGGAAGGGAATGTTGAACTCTGTGACTTAAAAGCAAACATCACAAAGAAGATTCTTAGAATGCTGCTGTCTACTTTTATATGTAATACCCTTTCCAACGAAATCCTCAGAGCTATCCTAAGATTCACTTGCAGATTCCACGAAAAGAGCTTTTCAAGACTGATCTATAAATAGAAAGGTTCAACTCTGTTAGTTGAGTACATATATACCAAAGAATTTTCTTAGAATGCTTCCGTCTGGTTTTTATGGGAAGACATCTCTTTATCACCAAAGGTGTCAAAGCGCTCCAGAAGTCCACTTCCTGATAGTACAAAAAGAGTGTTTCCAAACTGCTGTATCATAACAAAGGCTGAACTCTGTTAGTTGAGGACACACGTCACAAAGAAGTTTCTGAGAATGCCACCGTCTAGATTTTACCTGAAGATATTCCGGTTTCCAAAGAAATCCTTAAAGCTCTCCAAATATCCACTTGCAGATTCTCCAAAAAGCGTCTTTCAAATCTGCTCTGTAATTAGAAAGGTTCAACTCTGTTAGCTGAGGACACACATCATAACGAAGTTTCTGGGAATGCTTCTGTATTGCTTTTATGGGAAGATATTTCCTTTTTCACCATAGGCCTGAAAGTGCTCGAAATGTCCACTTCCAGATACTACAAAAAAAGGGTTTCAAACCGGCTCTATGGAAGGGAATGTTGAACTCTGTGACTTAAAAGCAAACATCACAAAGAAGATTCTTAGAATGCTTCTTTCTAGGTTTTATATGAAGATACTCCCGTTTCCAAGGAAATCCACAAAGCTATCCAAATATCCACTTGCAGATTCTACAAAAAGCGTGTTTCCAAACTGCTCTGTCAAACGAAATGTTCAACTCTGTGAGTTGAGGACACACATCACAAACAAGTTTCTGCGAAGGCTTCTGTTTAGTTTTTATGGGAAGATATTTCCTTGTTCACCATAGGCCTGAAAGCGCTCGAAATGGCCACTTCCAGATATTACAGAAAGAGTGTTTGAAACCTGCTCTATGAAAGGGAATGTTCAACTCTGTGACTTAAAAGCAAACATCACAAAGAAGCTTCTGAGAATGCTGCTGTCCACTTTGTATATGTAATCCCGTTTCCTACGAAATCCTCAAAGCTATCCAAATATCCTCCTGCAGATTCCACGAAAAGACGGTTTCAAACCTGCTCTAAGAAAGGGAATATTCAACTCTGTGACTTGAATGCAGATATCACAAAGTAGTTTCTGAGAGTGCTTCTGTCTAGATTTTATATGAAGATATTCCCGTTACCAACAAAATAGTTAGAGCTCTCCAAATATCCAGTTGCATATTCTACAAAAAGAGTGTTTCCAAACTGCTGTATCATAAGAGAGGTTGAACTCTGTTAGTTGAGGACACACATCACAAAGAAGTTTCTGAGAATGCTTCTGTCTAGTTTTTATGGGAAGATATTTCCTTTTTCAACATAGGCCTGAAATCGCTCGAAATGTCCACTTCCAGATACTACAGAAAGAGTGTTTCAAACCTGCTCTATGGAAGGGAATATTCAACTCTGTGATTTAAAAGCAAACATCACAAAGAAGCTTCTGAGAATGCTGCTGTCTATTTTTATATGTAATCCCGTCTCCAACGAAATCTTCGGCGGTATCCTAACATCGACTTGCAGATTCCACAAAAAGAGCTTTTCAAAACTGATCTCTAAATAGAAAGTTTCAACTCTGTTAGTTGAGTACATATATCCCAAAGAAGTTTCTTAGAATGCTTCTGTCTAGTTTTTATGGGAAGACATTTCCTTTTTCACCAATGGCGTCAAAGCGCTCCAAATGTCCACTTCCAGATACTACAAAAAGAGTGGTTCAAACCTGCTCTCAGAAAGGGAATGTTCAACACTGTGACTTGAATGCAGATATCACAAAGCAGTTTCTGAGAGTGCCTCTGTCTAGATTTTATATGAAGGTATTCCCGTTTCCTACGAAATCTTTAGAGCTATCCAAATATCCACTTGCAGATTGTACAAAAAGAGTGTTTCCAAACTGCTGTATCAAAAGCCAGGTAGTACTTTGTTAGTTGAGGACACACATCACAAAGAGGTTTCTGAGAATGCCTCTGTCTAGATTTTACCTGAAGATATTCGGGTTTCCAGTGAAATCCTTAAAGCTCTCGAAATATCCACTTGCAGATTCTCCAAAAAGAGTCTTTCAAAACTGCTCTGTAAATAGAAAAGTTCAACTCTGTTAGATGAGGACATACATCACAAACCAGTTTGTGAGAATGCTTCTGTCTAGTTTTTATGGGAAGATATTTCCTTTTTCACTGTAAGCGTCAAAGCGCTCCAAGTGTCCACATCCAGATACTACAGAAAGAGTGTATCAAACCTGCTCTATGAAGGGGAATATTCAACTCTGTAACGTGAATGCAGACATCACAAAGCAGTTTCTGAGAATGTTTCTGTCTAGGTTTTATATGGAGATTCTCCCGTTTCCAACGAAATCCACAAAGCTATCCAAATATCCACTTGCAGATTCTACAAAAAGCGTGTTTCCAAGCTGCTCTGTCAAACGAAATGTTCTATTCTGTGAGTTGAGGACACGCATCACAAACAAGTTTCTGCAAATGCTTGTGTCTGGTTTTTATGGGAAGATATTTCCTTGTTCACCATAGGCCTGAAAACACTCGAAATGTCCACTTCCAGATACTACAGAAAGAGTGTCTGAAACCTGCTCTACGAAAGGGAATGTTCAACTCTGTGACTTAAAAGCAAGCATCACAAAGAAGCTTCTGAGTATGCTACTGTCTAGTTTTTATGGGAAGATATTTCGTTTTTCAACATAGGCCTGAAATCGCTCGAAATGTCCACTTCCAGATACTATAGAAAGAGTGTTTCTAAACTGCTCTATGGAAGGGAATGTTCAACTCTGTGACTTAAAAGCAAACATCACAAAGAAGTTTCTGAGAATGCTGCTGTCTACATTTTGTTTGTAATCCCGTTTCCAACGAAATCCTGAAAGCTATCCAAATATCCACTTGCAGATTCCACAAAAAGAGCATTAAAAAGCTGATCTATAAAGAGCAAGGTTCAACTCGGTTAGTTGAGTACATATATCACAAAGATGTTTCTTAGAATGCTTCTTTCTAGTTTTTATGTGAAGACATTTCCTTTATCACCAAAGGCGTCAAAGCGCTCCAAATGTCCACTTCCAGATCCTGCAAAAAGAGTGTTTCAAACCTGCTCTAAGAAAGGGAATGTTGAACTGTGTGACTTGAATGCAGATATCACAAAGCAGTTTCTGAGAGTGCCTCTGTCTAGATTTTATATGAAGGTATTCCCGTTTCCAAAGAAATCATTAGAGCTATGCAAATATCCACTGGCAGATTCTACAAAAAGAGTGTTTCCAAACTGCTGTATCAAAAGACAGGATGTACCGCCGTTAGTTGAGGACACACATCACAAAGAAGTTTCTGAGAATGCCTCTGTCTAGATTTTATATGAAGATATTCCCGTTTCCAATGAATTCCTTAAAGCTCTCCAAATATCCACTTGAAGATTCTCCAAAAACAGTCTTTCAAAACTGCTCTGCAAATAAAATGTTTCAACTCTGTTAGTTGAGGACAAACATCACAATCCAGTTTGTGAGAATGCTTCTGTCTAGTTTTTATGGGAAGATATTTCCTTTTGCACCGTAAGCGTCAAAGCGCTCCAAGTGTCCACATCCAGATACTACGGAAAGAGGGTTTCAAACCTGCTCTATGAAAGGGAATGATCAACTCTGTGACGTGAATGCAGACATCATAAAGCAGTTTCTGAGAATTTTTCTGTCTAGGTTTTCTATGTTGATACTCCCGTTTCCAATGAAATAATGAGAGCTATCCAACTATCCACTTACATATTCTACAAAAAGAGTGTTTCAAAACTGCTGTATCATAAGAAAGGATGAACTCTGTTAGTTGAGGACACACATCACAAAGAAATTTCTGAGAATGCTTCTGTCTAGTTTTTATGGGAAGATATTTCCGTTTTCAACATAGGCCTGAAATCGCTCGAAATGTCCATGTCCACATACTACAGAAATAGTGTTTCAAACCTGCTCTATGAAAGGGAATGATCAACTCTGTGACGTGAATGCAGACATCATAAAGCAGTTTCTGAGAATTTTTCTGTCTAGGTTTTCTATGTTGATACTCCCGTTTCCAATGAAATAATGAGAGCTATCCAACTATCCACTTACATATTCTACAAAAAGAGTGTTTCAAAACTGCTGTATCATAAGAAAGGATGAACTCTGTTAGTTGAGGACACACATCACAAAGAAATTTCTGAGAATGCTTCTGTCTAGTATTTATGGGAAGATATTTCCGTTTTCAACATAGGCCTGAAATCGCTCGAAATGTCCATGTCCAGATACTACAGAAATAGTGTTTCAAACCTGCTCTATGTAAGGGAATATTCAACTCTGTGACTTAAAAGCAAACATCACAAAGAAGGTTCTGAGAATGCTGCTGTCTACTTTTTATATGTAATCCCGTTTCCAAGGAAATCCTCAGAGCTATCCTAATATCCACTTGCAGATTCCACAACAAGAGCTTCTCAAAACTGACCTATAAATAGAAAGGTTCAACTCTGTTAGTTGAGTACATATATCCCAAAGAAGTTTCTTAGAATGCTTCTGTCTAGTTTTTATGGGAAGACATTTCCTTTTTCACCAATGGCGTCAAAGCGCTCCAAATGTCCACTTCCAGATACTACAAAAAGAGTGGTTCAAACCTGCTCTCAGAAAGGGAATGTTCAACACTGTGACTTGAATGCAGATATCACAAAGCAGTTTCTGAGAGTGCCACTGTCTAGATTTTATATGAAGGTGTTCCCGTTTCCCACGAAATCGTTAGAGCTATCCAAATATCCACTTGCAGATTCTGTAAAAAGAGTGTTTCCAAACTGCTGTATCAAAAGACAGGTTGTACTCTGGTCGGTGAGTACACACATCACAAAGAAATTTCTGAGAATGCCTCTGTCTAGATTTTACCTGAAGATATTCGGGTTTCCAGTGAAATCCTTAAAGCTCTCGAAATATCCACTTGCAGATTCTCCAAAAAGAGTCTTTCAAAACTGCTCTGTAAATAGAAAAGTTCAACTCTGTTAGATGAGGACATACATCACAAACCAGTTTGTGAGAATGCTTCTGTCTAGTTTTTATGGGAAGATATTTCCTTTTTCACTGTAAGCGTCAAAGCGCTCCAAGTGTCCACATCCAGATACTACAGAAAGAGTGTATCAAACCTGCTCTATGAAGGGGAATATTCAACTCTGTAACGTGAATGCAGACATCACAAAGCAGTTTCTGAGAATGTTTCTGTCTAGGTTTTATATGGAGATTCTCCCGTTTCCAACGAAATCCACAAAGCTATCCAAATATCCACTTGCAGATTCTACAAAAAGCGTGTTTCCAAGCTGCTCTGTCAAACGAAATGTTCTATTCTGTGAGTTGAGGACACACATCACAAACAAGTTTCTGCAAATGCTTGTGTCTGGTTTTTATGGGAAGATATTTCCTTGTTCACCATAGGCCTGAAAACACTCGAAATGTCCACTTCCAGATACTACAGAAAGAGTGTCTGAAACCTGCTCTACGAAAGGGAATGTTCAACTCTGTGACTTAAAAGCAAGCATCACAAAGAAGCTTCTGAGTATGCTACTGTCTAGTTTTTATGGGAAGATATTTCGTTTTTCAACATAGGCCTGAAATCGCTCGAAATGTCCACTTCCAGATACTATAGAAAGAGTGTTTCTAAACTGCTCTATGGAAGGGAATGTTCAACTCTGTGACTTAAAAGCAAACATCACAAAGAAGTTTCTGAGAATGCTGCTGTCTACATTTTGTTTGTAATCCCGTTTCCAACGAAATCCTGAAAGCTATCCAAATATCCACTTGCAGATTCCACAAAAAGAGCATTAAAAAGCTGATCTATAAAGAGCAAGGTTCAACTCGGTTAGTTGAGTACATATATCACAAAGATGTTTCTTAGAATGCTTCTTTCTAGTTTTTATGTGAAGACATTTCCTTTATCACCAAAGGCGTCAAAGCGCTCCAAATGTCCACTTCCAGATCCTGCAAAAAGAGTGTTTCAAACCTGCTCTAAGAAAGGGAATGTTGAACTGTGTGACTTGAATGCAGATATCACAAAGCAGTTTCTGAGAGTGCCTCTGTCTAGATTTTATATGAAGGTATTCCCGTTTCCAAAGAAATCATTAGAGCTATGCAAATATCCACTGGCAGATTCTACAAAAAGAGTGTTTCCAAACTGCTGTATCAAAAGACAGGATGTACCGCCGTTAGTTGAGGACACACATCACAAAGAAGTTTCTGAGAATGCCTCTGTCTAGATTTTATATGAAGATATTCCCGTTTCCAATGAATTCCTTAAAGCTCTCCAAATATCCACTTGAAGATTCTCCAAAAACAGTCTTTCAAAACTGCTCTGCAAATAAAATGTTTCAACTCTGTTAGTTGAGGACAAACATCACAATCCAGTTTGTGAGAATGCTTCTGTCTAGTTTTTATGGGAAGATATTTCTTTTGCACCTTAAGCGTCAAAGCGCTCCAAGTGTCCACATCCAGATAGTACAGAAAGAGTGTTTCAAACCTGCTCTATGAAAGGGAATGATCAACTCTGTGACGTGAATGCAGACATCATATAGCAGTTTCTGAGAATGTTTCTGTCTAGGTTTTATATGAAGATACTCCCGTTTCCAAGGAAATCCACAAAGCTATCCAAATATCCACTTGCAGATTCTACAAAAAGCGTGTTTCCAAACTGCTCTGTCAAATGAAATGTTCAACTCTGATAGTTGAGGATACATATCACAAACAAGTTTCTGCGAATGCTTCTGTCTAGTTTTTATCGGAAGATATTTCCTTTTTCACCATAGGCCTGAAAGCACTCGAAATGTCCACTTCCAGATACTACAGAAAGAGTGTTTCAAAACTGCTCTATGAAAGGGAATGTTGAACACTGTGACTTAAAAGCAAACATCACAAAGAAGCTTCTGAGAATGCTGCTTTCTATTTTTATATTTAATCCCTTTTCCAACGAAATCCTCAAAGCTATCCAAATATCCTCCTGCAGATTCCACGAAAAGACGGTTTCAAACCTGCTCTAAGAAAGGGAATATTCAACTCTGTGACTTGAATGCAGATATCAGAAAGTAGTTTCTGAGAGTGCTTCTGTCTAGGTTTTCTATGTTGATACTCCCGTTTCCAATGAAATAATGAGAGCTATCCAACTATCCACTTACATATTCTACAAAAAGAGTGTTTCAAAACTGCTGTATCATAAGAAAGGATGAACTCTGTTAGTTGAGGACACACATCACAAAGAAATTTCTGAGAATGCTTCTGTCTAGTTTTTATGGGATGATATTTCCTTTTTCAACATAGGACTGAAATCGCCCGAAATGTCCACTTCCGGATACTACAGAAAGAGTGTTTCAATCCTGCTCTATGGAAGGGAATATTCAACTCTGTGACTTAAAAGCAACCATCACAAAGAAGCTTCTGAGAATGCTGCTGTCTATATTTTATATGAAATCCCGTTTCCAAGGAAATCCTCAGAGCTATCCGAATATCCACTTGCAGATTACAGAAAAAGAGCTTCTCAAAACTGACCCAGAAATAGAAAGGTTCAACTCTGTTAGTTGAGTACATATATCCCAAAGAAGTTTCTTAGAATGCTTCTGTCTAGTTTTTATGGGAAGACATTTCCTTTTTCACCAAAGGGGTCGAAGCGGTCTAAGTGTCCACTTACACATACTACAAAAAGAGTGTTTCAAACCTTCTCTAAGAAAGGGAATGTTCAACTCTGTGACTTGAAAGCAGATAGCTCAAAGCACTTTCGGAGAGTGCCTCTCTAGATTTTATATGAAGGTATTCCCATTTCCAACGAAATCGTTACAGCTATCGAAATATCCACTTGCAGATTCTACAAAAAGAGTGTTTCCAAACTGCTGTATCAAAAGATAGGTTGTACTCTGTTAGTTGAGGACACACATCATAAATAAGTTTCTGAGAATGCCTCTGGCTAGATTTTACCTGAAGATATTACGGTTTAAAATGAAATCCTTGAAGCTCTCCAAATATCCGCTTACAGATTCTCCAAAAAGAGTCTTTCAAAACTGCTCTGTAAATAGAAAGGTTCAACGCTGTTAGTTGAGGACATACATCACAAACCAGTTTGTGAGAATGCTTCTGTCTAGTTTTTGTGGGAAGATATTTCCTTTTTCACCGTAGGCATCAAAGCGCTCCAAATGTCCACATTCAGATACTACAAAAAGAGTGTTTCAAACCTGCTCGATGAAAGGGAATGTTCAACTCTGTGACTTGAATGCAGACATCACAAAGCAGTTTCTGAGAATGTTTCCGTCTAGGTTTTATATGAAGATACTCCCGTTCCCAAGGAAAATCCACAAAGCTATCCAAATATCCACTTGCAGATTCTACAAAAAGCGTGTTTCCAAACTGCTCTGTCACAGGAAATGTTCAACTCTGTTGGTTGAGGACACACATCACAAACAAGTTTCTGCGAATGCTTCTGTCTAGTTTTTATGGGAAGATATTTCCTTTTTCATCATAGGCCTGAAAGCGCTCGAAATGTCCACTTCCAGATGTTAAAGAAAGAGTGTTTCAAACCTGCTCTCTGAAAGGGAATGTTCAACTCTGTGACTTAAAAGCAAACATCACAAAGTAGCTTCGGAGAATGCTGCTGTCTACTTTTTATATGTAATCCCGTCTCCAACGAAATCCTCAGAGTTATCCGAATATCCACTTACAGATTCCATAAAAAGAGCGTTTGAAAACTGATCTATAAATAGAATGATTCAACTCCGTTAGTTGTGTACATATATCCCAAAGAAGTTTCTTAGAATGCTTCTGTCTAGTTTTTATGTGAAGACATTTCCTTTTTCACAAAAGGCGTCAAAGCGCTCCAAATGTCCACTTCCAGATACTACAAAAAGAGTGTTTCAAACCTGCCCGAAGAAAGGGAATGTTCAACTCTGTGACTTGAATGCAGATAACACAAAGCAGTTTCTGAGAGTGCCTCGGTCTAGATTTCATATGAAGTTATTCCCGTATCCATCGAAATCGCTAGAGTTATCCAAAGATCCAATTGCAGATTCTACAGAAAGAGTGTTTCAATACTGCTGTATCAAAGGACAGGTTGTACTCTGTTAGTTGAGGACCTACATCACAAACCAGTTTGTGAGAATGCTTCTGTCTAGATTTTACCTGAAGATATTCCGGTTTCCAGTGAAATCCTTAAAGATCTCCAGATATCCACTTGCAGATTCTCCAAAAAGAGTCTTTGAAAACTGCTCTGTAAATAGAAAGGTTCAACTCTGTTAGTTGAGGACATACATCACAAACCAGTTTGTGAGAATGCTTCTGTCTAGTTTTCATGGGAAGTTATTCCTTTTTTCACCGTAAGCGTCAAAGCGCTCCAAGTGTCCACATCCAGATACTTCAGAAAGAGTGTTTCAAACCTGCTCTATGAAAGGGAATGTTCAACTCTGTGACGTGAATGCAGACATTACAAAGGAGTTTCGGAGAATGTTTCCGTCTAGGTTTTATATGAAGATACTCCCGTTCCCAAGGAAAATCCACAAAGCTATCCAAATATCCACTTGCAGATTCTACAAAAAGCGTGTTTCCAAACTGCTCTGTCACAGGAAATGTTCAACTCTGTTGGTTGAGGACACACATCACAAACAAGTTTCTGCGAATGCTTCTGTCTAGTTTTTATGGGAAGATATTTCCTTTTTCACCATAGGCCTGAAAGCCCTCGAAATGTCCACTTCCAGATACTACAGAAAGAGTGTTTCAAACCTGCTCTATGAAAGGGAATGCTCAACTCTGTGACTTAAAAGCAAACATCACAGAGAAGCTTCTGAGAATGCTGCTGTCTACTTTGTACATGTAATCCCGTTTCCAACGAAATCCTCAAAGCTATCCAAATATCCTCCTGCAGATTCCACGAAAAGACGGTTTCAAACCTGCTCTAAGAAAGGGAATATTCAACTCTGTGACTTGAATACAGATATCACAAAGTAGTTTCTGAGAGTGCTTCTGTCTAGATTTTATATGAAGATATTCCCATTTCGAACGAAATAGTTAGAGCTGTTCAAATATCCACTTGCATATTCTACAAAAAGTGTTTTTTCAAACTGCTGTATTATAAGAGAGGTTGAACTCTGTTAGTTGAGGACACACATCACAAAGAAGTTTCTGAGAATGCTTCTGTCTTGTTTTTATGGGAAGATGTTTCCTTTTTCAACATAGGCCTGAAATCGCTCGAAATGTCCACTTCCAGATACTACAAAAAAAGTGTTTCAAACCGGCTCTATGGAAGGGAATATTGAACTCTGTGACTTAAAAGCAAACATCACAAAGAAGTTTCTGAGAATGCTGCTGTCTACTTTTTATATGTAATCCCGTTTCCAACGCAATCCTCAGAGCTATCCTAAGATTCACTTGCAGATTCCACGAAAAGAGCTTTTCAAGACTGATCTATAAATAGAAAGGTTCAACTCTGTTAGTTGAGTACGTATATCCCAAAGAATTCTCTTAGAATGCTTCCGTCTGGTTTTTATGGGAAGACATCTCTTTATCACCAAAGGTGTCAAAGCGCTCCAGAAGTCCACTTCCTGATAGTACAAAAAGAGTGTTTCCAAACTGCTGTATCATAACAAAGGCTGAACTCTGTTAGTTGAGGACACACGTCACAAAGAAGTTTCTGAGAATGCCTCTGTCTAGATTTTACCTGAAGATATTCCGGTTTACAATGAAATCCTTAAAGCTCTCCAAATATCCACTTGCAGATTCTCCAAAAAGAGTCTTTCAAAACTACTCTGTAAATAGAAAGGTTCAACTCTGTTAGTTGAGGAAATACATCACAAACTAGTTTTTGAGAATGCTTCTGTCTAGTTTTCATTGGAAGATATTTCCTTTTGCACCGTAAGCCTCAAAGCGCTCCAAGTGTCCACATCCAGGTACTACAGAAAGAGTGTTTCAAACCTGCTCTATGAAAGGAAATATTCAACTCTGTGACGTGAATACAGACATCACAAAGCAGTTTCTGAGAATGTTTCTTTCTAGGTTTTATATGAAGATACTCCCGTTTCCAAGGAAATCCACAAAGCTATCCAAATATCCACTTGCAGATTCTACAAAAAGCGTGTTTCCAAACTGCTCTGTCAAACGAAATGTTCAACTCTGTGAGTTGAGGACACACATCACAAACAAGTTTCTGCGAAGGCTTCTGTTTAGTTTTTATGGGAAGATATTTCCTTGTTCACCATAGGCCTGAAAGCGCTCGAAATGGCCACTTCCAGATATTACAGAAAGAGTGTTTGAAACCTGCTCTATGAAAGGGAATGTTCAACTCTGTGACTTAAAAGCAAACATCACAAAGAAGCTTCTGAGAATGCTGCTGTCCACTTTGTATATGTAATCCCGTTTCCTACGAAATCCTCAAAGCTATCCAAATATCCTCCTGCAGATTCCACGAAAAGACGGTTTCAAACCTGCTCTAAGAAAGGGAATATTCAACTCTGTGACTTGAATGCAGATATCACAAAGTAGTTTCTGAGAGTGCTTCTGTCTAGATTTTATATGAAGATATTCCCGTTACCAACAAAATAGTTAGAGCTCTCCAAATATCCAGTTGCATATTCTACAAAAAGAGTGTTTCCAAACTGCTGTATCATAAGAGAGGTTGAACTCTGTTAGTTGAGGACACACATCACAAAGAAGTTTCTGAGAATGCTTCTGTCTAGTTTTTATGGGAAGATATTTCCTTTTTCCACATAAGCCTCAAATCGCTCGAAATGTCCACTTCCAGATACTACAGAAAGAGTGTTTCAAACCTGCCCTATGGAAGGGAATATTCAACTCTGTGACTTAAAAGCAATCATCACAAAGAAGCTCCTGAGAATGCTGCTGTCTACTTTTTATATGTAATCCCGTCTCCAACGAAATCCTCAGAGCTATCCTAATAACCATTTGCAGATTCCACACAAAGAGCTTTTCAAAACTGATCTATAAAGAGAAAGGTTCAACTCTGTTAGTTGAGTACATATATCCCAAAGAAGTTTCTTAGAATGCTTCTGTCTAGTTTTGATGGGAAGACATTTCCTTTTTCACCAAAGGCGTCAAAGCGCTCCAAATTTCCACTTCCAGATACTACCAAAAGAGTGTTTCAAACCTGCTCTAAGAAAGGGAATGTTCAACTCTGTGACTTGAATGTAGATATCACAAAGCAGTTTCTGAGAGTGCCGCTGTCTAGATTTTATATGAAGGTATTCCCGTTTCCAACGAAAACGTTAGAGATATCCAAATATCCTCTTGCAGATTCTACAAAAAGAGTGTTATGAAACTCCTGTATCAAAAGACAGGTTGTACTTTGATAGTTGAGGACACACATCACAAACAGGTTTCTGAGAATGCCTCTGTCTAGATTTTACCTGAAGATATTCGGGTTTCCAGTGAAATCCTTAAAGCTCTCGAAATATCCACTTGCAGATTCTCCAAAAAGAGTCTTTCAAAACTGCTCTGTAAATAGAAAAGTTCAACTCTGTTAGATGAGGACATACATCACAAACCAGTTTGTGAGAATGCTTCTGTCTAGTTTTTATGGGAAGATATTTCCTTTTTCACTGTAAGCGTCAAAGCGCTCCAAGTGTCCACATCCAGATACTACAGAAAGAGTGTATCAAACCTGCTCTATGAAGGGGAATATTCAACTCTGTAACGTGAATGCAGACATCACAAAGCAGTTTCTGAGAATGTTTCTGTCTAGGTTTTATATGGAGATTCTCCCGTTTCCAACGAAATCCACAAAGCTATCCAAATATCCACTTGCAGATTCTACAAAAAGCGTGTTTCCAAGCTGCTCTGTCAAACGAAATGTTCTATTCTGTGAGTTGAGGACACGCATCACAAACAAGTTTCTGCAAATGCTTGTGTCTGGTTTTTATGGGAAGATATTTCCTTGTTCACCATAGGCCTGAAAACACTCGAAATGTCCACTTCCAGATACTACAGAAAGAGTGTCTGAAACCTGCTCTACGAAAGGGAATGTTCAACTCTGTGACTTAAAAGCAAGCATCACAAAGAAGCTTCTGAGTATGCTACTGTCTAGTTTTTATGGGAAGATATTTCGTTTTTCAACATAGGCCTGAAATCGCTCGAAATGTCCACTTCCAGATACTATAGAAAGAGTGTTTCTAAACTGCTCTATGGAAGGGAATGTTCAACTCTGTGACTTAAAAGCAAACATCACAAAGAAGTTTCTGAGAATGCTGCTGTCTACATTTTGTTTGTAATCCCGTTTCCAACGAAATCCTGAAAGCTATCCAAATATCCACTTGCAGATTCCACAAAAAGAGCATTAAAAAGCTGATCTATAAAGAGCAAGGTTCAACTCGGTTAGTTGAGTACATATATCACAAAGATGTTTCTTAGAATGCTTCTTTCTAGTTTTTATGTGAAGACATTTCCTTTATCACCAAAGGCGTCAAAGCGCTCCAAATGTCCACTTCCAGATCCTGCAAAAAGAGTGTTTCAAACCTGCTCTAAGAAAGGGAATGTTGAACTGTGTGACTTGAATGCAGATATCACAAAGCAGTTTCTGAGAGTGCCTCTGTCTAGATTTTTTATGAAGATATTCCCGTTTCCAACGAAATCGTTAGAGCTATCCAAATATCCACTTGCAGATTCTACAAAAAGAGTGTTTCCAAACTGCTGTATCAAAAGACAGGATGTACTCCGTTGGTTGAGGACACACATCACAAAGAAGTTTCTGAGAATGCCTCTGTCTAGATTTTATATGAAGATATTCCCGTTTCCAATGAAATCCTTAAAGCTCTCCAAATATCCACTTGCAGATTCTCCAAAAAGAGTCTTTCAAAAGTGCTCTGTAAATAGAAAGTTTCAACTCTGTTAGTTGAGGACAAACATCACAATCCAGTTTGTGAGAATGCTTCTGTCTAGTTTTTATGGGAAGATATTTCTTTTGCACCTTAAGCGTCAAAGCGCTCCAAGTGTCCACATCCAGATAGTACAGAAAGAGTGTTTCAAACCTGCTCTATGAAAGGGAATGATCAACTCTGTGACGTGAATGCAGACATCATATAGCAGTTTCTGAGAATGTTTCTGTCTAGGTTTTATATGAAGATACTCCCGTTTCCAAGGAAATCCACAAAGCTATCCAAATATCCACTTGCAGATTCTACAAAAAGCGTGTTTCCAAACTGCTCTGTCAAATGAAATGTTCAACTCTGATAGTTGAGGATACATATCACAAACAAGTTTCTGCGAATGCTTCTGTCTAGTTTTTATCGGAAGATATTTCCTTTTTCACCATAGGCCTGAAAGCACTCGAAATGTCCACTTCCAGATACTACAGAAAGAGTGTTTCAAAACTGCTCTATGAAAGGGAATGTTGAACACTGTGACTTAAAAGCAAACATCACAAAGAAGCTTCTGAGAATGCTGCTTTCTATTTTTATATTTAATCCCTTTTCCAACGAAATCCTCAAAGCTATCCAAATATCCTCCTGCAGATTCCACGAAAAGACGGTTTCAAACCTGCTCTAAGAAAGGGAATATTCAACTCTGTGACTTGAATGCAGAT
The DNA here is from genome assembly GCF_000001405.40 of Homo sapiens. Classification (NCBI taxonomy): domain Eukaryota; kingdom Metazoa; phylum Chordata; class Mammalia; order Primates; family Hominidae; genus Homo; species Homo sapiens. Next base: position 20,668,552 of record NC_000018.10, on the reverse strand, counting down.
ATCAGAAAGTAGTTTCTGAGAGTGCTTGTGTCTAGATTTTATATGAAGATATTCCCGTTTCCAACGAAATAGTTAGAGCTATCCAAATATCCACTTGCATATTCTACAAAAGGAGTGTTTCCAAACTGCTGTATCATAAGACAGTTTGAACTCTGTTAGTTGAGGACACACATCACAAAGAAATTTCTGAGAATGCTTCTGTCTAGTTTTTATGGGATGATATTTCCTTTTTCAACATAGGACTGAAATCGCCCGAAATGTCCACTTCCGGATACTACAGAAAGAGTGTTTCAATCCTGCTCTATGGAAGGGAATATTCAACTCTGTGACTTAAAAGCAACCATCACAAAGAAGCTTCTGAGAATGCTGCTGTCTATATTTTATATGAAATCCCGTTTCCAAGGAAATCCTCAGAGCTATCCGAATATCCACTTGCAGATTACAGAAAAAGAGCTTCTCAAAACTGACCCAGAAATAGAAAGGTTCAACTCTGTTAGTTGAGTACATATATCCCAAAGAAGTTTCTTAGAATGCTTCTGTCTAGTTTTTATGGGAAGACATTTCCTTTTTCACCAAAGGGGTCGAAGCGGTCTAAGTGTCCACTTACACATACTACAAAAAGAGTGTTTCAAACCTTCTCTAAGAAAGGGAATGTTCAACTCTGTGACTTGAAAGCAGATAGCTCAAAGCACTTTCGGAGAGTGCACTGTCTAGATTTTATATGAAGGTATTCCCGTTTCCAACGAAATCGTTAGAGCTAACCAAATATCCACTTGCAGATTCTACAAAAAGAGTGTTTCCAAACTGCTGTATCAAAAGACAGGTTGTACTCTGTCAGTTGAGGACACACATCACAAAGAAGTTTCTGAGAATGCCTCTGGCTAGATTTTACCTGAAGATATTACGGTTTAAAATGAAATCCTTGAAGCTCTCCAAATATCCGCTTACAGATTCTCCAAAAAGAGTCTTTCAAAACTGCTCTGTAAATAGAAAGGTTCAACGCTGTTAGTTGAGGACATACATCACAAACCAGTTTGTGAGAATGCTTCTGTCTAGTTTTTATGGGAAGATATTTCCTTTTTTACCGTAAGCGTCAATGTGCTCCAAGTGTCCACATCCAGATACTACAGAAAGAGTGTTTCAAACCTGCTCTATGAAAGGGAATGTTCAACTCTGTGACGTGAATGCAGACATCACAAAGCGGTTTCTGAGAATGTTTCTGTCTAATTTTTATATGAGGATACTTCCGTTTCCAACGAAATCCACAAAGCTATCCAAATATCCACATGCAAATTCTACAAAAAGCGTGTTTCCAAACTGCTCTGTGAAACGAAGTGTTCCACTCTGTGAGTTGAGGGCACACATCACAAACAATTTTCTGCTAATGCTTCTGTCTAGTTTTTATGGGACGATATTTCCTTGTTCACCATAGGCCTGAAAGCGCTCGAAATGTCCACTTCCAGATAGTAGAGAAAGAGGGTTTCAAACCTGCTCTATGGAAGGGAATATTCAACTCTGTGACTTAAAAGCAAACATCACAAAGAAGCTTCTGAGAATGCTGCTGTCTACTTTTTATATGCAATCCCGTCTCCAACGAAATCCTCAGAACTATCCTTATATCCAATTGCAGATTCCACAAAAAGAGCTTTTCGAAACTGATCTATCAATAGAAAGGTTCAACTCTGTTAGGTGAGTACATATATCGCCAAGAAGTTTCTTAGAATGCTTCTGTCTAGTTTTTATGGAAGATATTTCCTTTTTCACCAAAGGCGTCAAAGCGCTCCAAATGTCCACTTCCAGATACTACAAAAAGAGTGTCTCAAACCTGCTCTAAGAAAGGGAATGTTCAACTCTGTGACTTGAACGCAGATATCACAAAGTAGTTTCTGAGAGTGCCTCTGTCTAGATTTTATATGAAGTTATTCTCGTTTCCTATGAAATGGTTAGAGCTATCCAAATATCCACATGCAGATTCTACAAAAAGAGTGTTTACAAACTGCTGTATCAAAAGAAAGGTTGAACCCTGTTAGTTGAGGACACACATCACAAAGAAATTTTTGAGAATGCTTCCGTCTAATTTTTATTGGAAGATATTTCCTTTTTCAACCTAGGCCTGAAATCGCTCGAAATGTCCACTTCCAGATACTACAGAAAGAGTGTCTCAAACCTGCTCTATGGAAGGGAATATTGAACTCTGCGATTTAAAAGCAAACATCACAAAGAAGCTTCTGAGAATGCTGCTGTCTACTTTTTATACGTAATCCCGTCTCCAACGAAATCCTCAGTGCTATCCTAATATCCACATGCGGATTCCACAAAAAGAGCTTTTCAAAACTGATCTATAAATAGAAAGGTTCAACTGTGTTAGTTGAGTACATATATCCCAAAGAAGTTCCTTAGAATGCTTCTGTCTAGTTTTTATGGGAAGACCTTTCCTTTTTCACCAGAGGCGTCAAAGCGCTCCAAATGTCCACTTCCAGATACTACAAAAAGGGTGTTTCAAACCTGCTCTAAGAAAGGGAATGTTCAACTCTGTGACTTGAATGCAGATATCACAAAGCAGTTTCTGAGAGTGCCTCTGCTAAATTTTATATGAAGGTATTCCGGTTTCCAACGAAACCGTTAGAGCTATCGAAATATCCTCTTGGAGTTTCTACAAAAAGAGTGTTTCGAAACTGCTGTATCAGAAGACAAGTTGTACTCTGTTAGTTGAGGACACACATCACAAAGAAGTTTCTGAGAATGCCTCTGTCTAGATTTTTCCTCAAGATATTCCGGTTTCCAGTGAAATCCTTAAAGCTCTCCAAATATCCACTTGCAGAGTCTCCAAAAAGTGTCTTTCAAAACTGCTCTGTAAATAGAAAGGTTCAAGTCTGTTAGTTGAGGACATACATCACAAACCAGTTTGTGAGAATGCTTCTGTCTAGTTTTCATGGGAACATATTTCCTTTTTCACCGTAAGCGTCAAAGCCCTCCAAGTGTCCACATCCAGATACTACAGAAAGGGAGTTTCAAACCTGCTCTATGAAAGGGAATGTTCAACTCCGTGACGTGAATGCAGACATCACAAAGCAGTTTCTGAGAATGTTTCTGTCTAGGTTTAATAGGAAGATACTCCCGTTTCAAGCAAAATCCGCAAAGCTATCCAAATATCCACTTGCAGATTCTACAAAAAGCGTGTTTCCAAACTGCTCTGTCAAACGAAATGTTCGACTCTGTGAGTTGAGGACACACATCACAAAGAAGTTTCTGCGAATGCTTCTATCTAGTTTTTATGGGAAGATATTTCCTTGTTCACCATAGGCCTGAAAGCGCTCGAAATGTCCACTTCCAGATACTACAGGAAGAGTGTTTCAAACCTGCTCTATGAAAGAGAATGTTCAACTCTGTGACTTACAAGCAAACATCACAAAGAAGCTTCTGAGAATGCTGCTGTCTACTTTGTATATGTAATCCCGTTTCCAACTAAACCCTCAAGGCTATCGAAATATCCTCCTGCAGATTCCACGAGAAGACGGTTTAAAACCTGGTCTAAGAAAGGGAATTTTCAACTCTGTGACTTGAATGCAGATATCACAAAGTAGTTTCTGAGAGTGCTTCTGTCTAGATTTTATATGAAGGTATTCCCGTTTCCAACGAAATTCTTCGAGCTATCCAAATATCCCCTTGCATGTTCTACAGAAAGAGTGTTTCCAAACTTCTGTATCATAAGAGAGGTTGAACTCTGTTAGTTGAGGACACACATCACAAAGAAGTTTCTGAGAATGCTTCTGTATAGTTTTTATGAGAAGATATTTAATTTTTCAACATAGGCCTGAAAGCGCTCGAAATGTCCACTTCCAGATACTACAGAAAGATTGTTTCAAACCTGCTCTATGGAAGGGAAAATTCAACTCTGTGACTTAAAAGCAAACATCACAAAGACGCTTCTGAGAATGCTGCTGTCTACTTTTTATATGTCATCCCGTCTCCAACGAAATCCTCAGAGCTATTTTAATATCCACTTGCAGATTCCACAAAAAGAGCTTTTCAAAACTGATCTATAAAGAGAAAGGTTCAACTCTGTTAGTTGAGTACATATATCCCAAAGAAGTTTCTTAGAATGCTTCTGTCTAGTTTTTATGGGAAGACATTTCCTTTTTCACCAAAGGCGTCAAAGCCCTCCAAATGTCCACTTCCAGATACTACAAAAAGAGTGTTTCAAACCTGCTCTAAGAAAGAGAATGTTCAACTCCGTGACTTGAATGCAGATATCAAAAAGCAGTTTCTGAGAGTGCCTCTGTCTAGAATTTATATGAAGTTATTCCCGTATCCAACGAAATCGTTACAGCTATCCAAATATCCACTTGCGTATTCTGCAAAAAGCGTGTTTCCAAACTGCTCTGTCAAACGAAATGGTCACCTCTGTGAGATGAGGACACACATCACAAACAAGTTTCTGCGAATGCTTCTGTCTAGTTTTTATGGGACGATATTTCCTTGTTCACCATAGGCCTGAAAGCGCTCGAAATGTCCACTTCCAGATAGTAGACAAAGAGGGTTTCAAACCTGCTCTATGGAAGGGAATATTCAACTCTGTGACTTAAAAGCAAACATCACAAAGAAGCTTCTGAGAATGCTGCTGTCTACTTTTTATATGCAATCCCGTCTCCAACGAAATCCTCAGAACTATCCTTATATCCAATTGCAGATTCCACAAAAAGAGCTTTTCAAAACTGATCTATCAATAGAAAGGTTCAACTCTGGTAGTTGAGTACATATATCGCAAGGAAGATTCTTGGAATGCTTCTGTCTAGTTTTTATGGAAGATATTTCCTTTTTCACCAAAGGCGTCAAAGCGCTCCAAATGTCCACTACCAGATACTACAAATAGATTGTCTCAAACCTGCTCTAAGAAAGGGAATGTTCAACTCTGTGACTTGAATGCAGATATCACAAAGCAGTTTCTGAGGGTGCCTCTGTCTAGATTTTATATGAAGGTATTCCCGTTTCCTATGAAATGGTTAGAGCTATGCAAATATCCACTTGCAGATTCTACAAAAAGAGTGTTTATAAACTGCTGTATCATAAGAAAGGATGAACTCTGTTAGTTGAGGACGCACATCACAAAGAAATTTTTGAGAATGCTTCCGTCTAGTTTTTATTGGAAGATATTTCCTTTTTCAACACAGGCCTGAAATCGCTCGAAATGTCCACTTCCAGATACTACAGAAAGAGTGTTTCAAACCTTCTCTACGGAAGGGAATATTGAACTCTGCGATTTAAAAGCAAAGATCACAAAGAAGCTTTTGAGAATGCTGCTGTCTACTTTTTATACGTAATCCCGTCTCCAACGAAATCCTCAGAGCTATTCTAATATCCACTTGCGGATTCCACAAAAAGAGCTTTTTAAAACTGATCTCTAAATAGAAAGGTTCAACTCTGTTAGTTGAGTACATATATCCCAAAGAAGTTTCTTAGAATGCTTCTGTCTAGTTTTTATGGGAAGACATTTCCTTTTTCACCAAAGGCGTCAAAGCGCTCCAAGTGTCCACTTCCAGATACTACAAAAAGAGAGTTTCAAACCTGCTCTAAGAAAGGGAATGTTCAACTCTGTGACTTGAATGCAGATATCACAAAGCAGTTTCTGAGAGTGCCTCTGTCTAGATTTCATATGAAGGTATTCCCGTATCCATCGAAATCGCTAGAGCTATCCAAATATCCTCTTGCAGATTCTACAAAAAGAGTGTTTCCAAACTGATGTATCAAAAGACAGGTTGTACTCTGTTAGTTGAGGACGCACATCACGAAGAAGTTTCCGAGAATGCCTCTGTCTAGATTTTACCTGAAGATATTCCGGTTTCCAATGAAATCCTTAAAGATCTCCAGATATCCACTTGCAGATTCTCCAAAAAGAGTCTTTGAAAACTGCTCTGTAAATAGAAAGGTTTAACTCTGTTAGCTGAGGACATACATCACACACCAGTTTGTGAGAATGCTTCTGTCTAGTTTTCATGGGAAGTTATTTCCTTTTCACCGTAAGCGTCAAAGCGCTCCAAGTGTCCACATCCAGATACTTCGGAAAGAGTGTTTCAAACCTGCTCTATGAAAGGGAATGTTCAAATCTGTGACGTGAATGCAGACATTACAAAGGAGTTTCTGAGAATGTTTCCGTCTAGGTTTTATATGAAGATACTCCCGTTTCCAAAGAAATCCACAAAGCTATCCAAATATCCAATTGCAGATTCTACAAAAAGCGTGTTTCCAAGCTGCTCTGTCAAACGAAATGTTCTATTTCTGTGAGTTGAGGACACGCATCACAAACAAGTTTCTGCAAATGCTTGTGTCTGGTTTTTATGGGAAGATATTTCCTTGTTCACCATAGGCCTGAAAACACTCGAAATGTCCACTTCCAGATACTACAGAAAGAGTGTCTGAAACCTGCTCTACGAAAGGGAATGTTCAACTCTGTGACTTAAAAGCAAGCATCACAAAGAAGCTTCTGAGTATGCTACTGTCTAGTTTTTATGGGAAGATATTTCGTTTTTCAACATAGGCCTGAAATCGCTCGAAATGTCCACTTCCAGATACTATAGAAAGAGTGTTTCTAAACTGCTCTATGGAAGGGAATGTTCAACTCTGTGACTTAAAAGCAAACATCACAAAGAAGTTTCTGAGAATGCTGCTGTCTACATTTTGTTTGTAATCCCGTTTCCAACGAAATCCTGAAAGCTATCCAAATATCCACTTGCAGATTCCACAAAAAGAGCATTAAAAAGCTGATCTATAAAGAGCAAGGTTCAACTCGGTTAGTTGAGTACATATATCACAAAGATGTTTCTTAGAATGCTTCTTTCTAGTTTTTATGTGAAGACATTTCCTTTATCACCAAAGGCGTCAAAGCGCTCCAAATGTCCACTTCCAGATCCTGCAAAAAGAGTGTTTCAAACCTGCTCTAAGAAAGGGAATGTTGAACTGTGTGACTTGAATGCAGATATCACAAAGCAGTTTCTGAGAGTGCCTCTGTCTAGATTTTTTATGAAGATATTCCCGTTTCCAACGAAATCGTTAGAGCTATCCAAATATCCACTTGCAGATTCTACAAAAAGAGTGTTTCCAAACTGCTGTATCAAAAGACAGGATGTACTCCGTTGGTTGAGGACACACATCACAAAGAAGTTTCTGAGAATGCCTCTGTCTAGATTTTATATGAAGATATTCCCGTTTCCAATGAAATCCTTAAAGCTCTCCAAATATCCACTTGCAGATTCTCCAAAAAGAGTCTTTCAAAAGTGCTCTGTAAATAGAAAGTTTCAACTCTGTTAGTTGAGGACAAACATCACAATCCAGTTTGTGAGAATGCTTCTGTCTAGTTTTTATGGGAAGATATTTCCTTTTGCACCGTAAGCGTCAAAGCGCTCCAAGTGTCCACATCCAGATACTACGGAAAGAGGGTTTCAAACCTGCTCTATGAAAGGGAATGATCAACTCTGTGACGTGAATGCAGACATCATAAAGCAGTTTCTGAGAATTTTTCTGTCTAGGTTTTCTATGTTGATACTCCCGTTTCCAATGAAATAATGAGAGCTATCCAACTATCCACTTACATATTCTACAAAAAGAGTGTTTCAAAACTGCTGTATCATAAGAAAGGATGAACTCTGTTAGTTGAGGACACACATCACAAAGAAATTTCTGAGAATGCTTCTGTCTAGTTTTTATGGGATGATATTTCCTTTTTCAACATAGGACTGAAATCGCCCGAAATGTCCACTTCCGGATACTACAGAAAGAGTGTTTCAATCCTGCTCTATGGAAGGGAATATTCAACTCTGTGACTTAAAAGCAACCATCACAAAGAAGCTTCTGAGAATGCTGCTGTCTATATTTTATATGAAATCCCGTTTCCAAGGAAATCCTCAGAGCTATCCGAATATCCACTTGCAGATTACAGAAAAAGAGCTTCTCAAAACTGACCCAGAAATAGAAAGGTTCAACTCTGTTAGTTGAGTACATATATCCCAAAGAAGTTTCTTAGAATGCTTCTGTCTAGTTTTTATGGGAAGACATTTCCTTTTTCACCAAAGGGGTCGAAGCGGTCTAAGTGTCCACTTACACATACTACAAAAAGAGTGTTTCAAACCTTCTCTAAGAAAGGGAATGTTCAACTCTGTGACTTGAAAGCAGATAGCTCAAAGCACTTTCGGAGAGTGCCTCTGTCTAGATTTTATATGAAGGTATTCCCTTATCCAACGAAATCGTTAGAGCTATCCAAAGATCCAATTGCAGATTCTACAGAAAGAGTGTTTCAATACTGCTGTATCAAAAGACAGGTTGTACTCTGTTAGTTGAGGACCTACATCACAAACCAGTTTGTGAGAATGCTTCTGGCTAGATTTTACCTGAAGATATTACGGTTTAAAATGAAATCCTTGAAGCTCTCCAAATATCCGCTTACAGATTCTCCAAAAAGAGTCTTTCAAAACTGCTCTGTAAATAGAAAGGTTCAACGCTGTTAGTTGAGGACATACATCACAAACCAGTTTGTGAGAATGCTTCTGTCTAGTTTTTATGGGAAGATATTTCCTTTTTCACCGTAAGCGTCCAAGCGCTCCAAGTGTCCACATCCAGATACTACAGAAAGAGTGTTTCAAACCTGCTCTACGAAAGGGAATGTTCAACTCTGTGACGTGAATGCAGATATCACAAAGCAGTTTCTGAGAATGTTTCTGTCTAGGTTTTCTATGAAGATACTCCCGTTTCCAACGAAATCCACAAAGCCATCCAAATATCCACTTGCAGATTCTACAAAAATCGTGTTTCCAAACTGCTCTGTCAAACGAAATGTTCAACTCTGTGAGTTGAGGACACACATCACAAACAAGTTTCTGCGAATGCTTCTGTCTAGTTTTTATGGGACGATATTTCCTTGTTCACCATAGGCCTGAAAGCGCTCGAAATGTCCACTTCCAGATAGTAGAGAAAGAGGGTTTCAAACCTGCTCTATGGAAGGGAATATTCAACTTCTGTGACTTAAAAGCAAACATCACAAAGAAGCTTCTGAGAATGCTGCTGTCTACTTTTTATATGCAATCCCGTCTCCAACGAAATCCTCAGAACTATCCTTATATCCAATTGCAGATTCCACAAAAAGAGCTTTTCGAAACTGATCTATCAATAGAAAGGTTCAACTCTGTTAGGTGAGTACATATATCGCCAAGAAGTTTCTTAGAATGCTTCTGTCTAGTTTTTATGGAAGATATTTCCTTTTTCACCAAAGGCGTCAAAGCGCTCCAAATGTCCACTTCCAGATACTACAAAAAGAGTGTCTCAAACCTGCTCTAAGAAAGGGAATGTTCAACTCTGTGACTTGAACGCAGATATCACAAAGTAGTTTCTGAGAGTGCCTCTGTCTAGATTTTATATGAAGTTATTCTCGTTTCCTATGAAATGGTTAGAGCTATCCAAATATCCACATGCAGATTCTACAAAAAGAGTGTTTACAAACTGCTGTATCAAAAGAAAGGTTGAACCCTGTTAGTTGAGGACACACATCACAAAGAAATTTTTGAGAATGCTTCCGTCTAGGTTTTATATGAAGATACTCCCGTTCCCAAGGAAAATCCACAAAGCTATCCAAATATCCACTTGCAGATTCTACAAAAAGCGTGTTTCCAAACTGCTCTGTCACAGGAAATGTTCAACTCTGTTGGTTGAGGACACACATCACAAACAAGTTTCTGCGAATGCTTCTGTCTAGTTTTTATGGGAAGATATTTCCTTTTTCACCGTAAGCGTCAAAGCGCTCCAAGTGTCCACATCCAGATACTACAGAAAGAGTGTTTCAGACCTGCTCTATGGAAGGGAATATTCAACTCTGTGACTTAAAAGCAAACATCACAAAGAAGCTTCTGAGAATGCTGCTGTCTACTTTATATATGTAATCCAGTCTCCAACGAAATCCTCAGAGCTATCCGAATATCCACTTGCAGATTCCATAAAAAGAGCTTTTGAAAACTGATCTATAAATAGAATGATTCAACTCCGTTAGTTGAGTACATATATCCCAAAGAAGTTTCTGAGAATGCTTCTGTCTAGTTTTTATGTGAAGACATATCCTTTTTCAGCAATGGCGTCGAAGCGCACGAAACGTCCACTTCCAGATACTACAGAAAGAGTGTTTCAAACCTGCTCTATGAATGCGAATGTTCAACTCTGTGACTTAAAAGCAAACATCACAAAGAAGCCTCTGAGAATGCTGCTGTCTACTTTGTATATGTAATCCCGTTTCCAACGAAATCCTCAAAGCTATCCAAATATCCTCCTGCAGATTCCAAGAAAAGACTGTTTCAAACCTGCTCTGAGAAAGGGAATATTCAACTCTGTGACTTGAATGCAGATATCACGAAGTAGTTCCTGAGAGTGCTTCTGTCTAGATTTTATATGAAGATATTCCCGTTACCAACAAAATAGTTAGAGCTCTCCAAATATCCAGTTGCATATTCTACAAAAAGAGTGTTTCCAAACTGCTGTATCATAAGAGAGGTTGAACTCTGTTAGTTGAGGACACACATCACAAAGAAGTTTCTGAGAATGCTTCTGTCTAGTTTTTTTGGGAAGATGTTTCCTTTTTCAACACAGGCCTGAAAGCGCTCGAAATGTCCACTTCCAGATACTACAGAAAGAGTGTTTCAAGCCTGCTCTACGGAAGGGAATATTCAACTCTGTGACTTAAAAGCAAACATCACAAAGAAGCTTTTGAGAATGCTGCTGTCTATTTTTATATGTAATCCCGTCTCCAACGAAATCTTCGGCGGTATCCTAACATCGACTTGCAGATTCCACAAAAAGAGCTTTTCAAAACTGATCTCTAAATAGAAAGTTTCAACTCTGTTAGTTGAGTACATATATCCCAAAGAAGTTTCTTAGAATGCTTCTGTCTAGTTTTTATGGGAAGACATTTCCTTTTTCACCAATGGCGTCAAAGCGCTCCAAATGTCCACTTCCAGATACTACAAAAAGAGTGGTTCAAACCTGCTCTCAGAAAGGGAATGTTCAACACTGTGACTTGAATGCAGATATCACAAAGCAGTTTCTGAGAGTGCCTCTGTCTAGATTTTATATGAAGGTATTCCCGTTTCCTACGAAATCTTTAGAGCTATCCAAATATCCACTTGCAGATTGTACAAAAAGAGTGTTTCCAAACTGCTGTATCAAAAGCCAGGTAGTACTTTGTTAGTTGAGGACACACATCACAAAGAGGTTTCTGAGAATGCCTCTGTCTAGATTTTACCTGAAGATATTCGGGTTTCCAGTGAAATCCTTAAAGCTCTCGAAATATCCACTTGCAGATTCTCCAAAAAGAGTCTTTCAAAACTGCTCTGTAAATAGAAAAGTTCAACTCTGTTAGATGAGGACATACATCACAAACCAGTTTGTGAGAATGCTTCTGTCTAGTTTTTATGGGAAGATATTTCCTTTTTCACTGTAAGCGTCAAAGCGCTCCAAGTGTCCACATCCAGATACTACAGAAAGAGTGTATCAAACCTGCTCTATGAAGGGGAATATTCAACTCTGTAACGTGAATGCAGACATCACAAAGCAGTTTCTGAGAATGTTTCTGTCTAGGTTTTATATGGAGATTCTCCCGTTTCCAACGAAATCCACAAAGCTATCCAAATATCCACTTGCAGATTCTACAAAAAGCGTGTTTCCAAGCTGCTCTGTCAAACGAAATGTTCTATTCTGTGAGTTGAGGACACGCATCACAAACAAGTTTCTGCAAATGCTTGTGTCTGGTTTTTATGGGAAGATATTTCCTTGTTCACCATAGGCCTGAAAACACTCGAAATGTCCACTTCCAGATACTACAGAAAGAGTGTCTGAAACCTGCTCTACGAAAGGGAATGTTCAACTCTGTGACTTAAAAGCAAGCATCACAAAGAAGCTTCTGAGTATGCTACTGTCTAGTTTTTATGGGAAGATATTTCGTTTTTCAACATAGGCCTGAAATCGCTCGAAATGTCCACTTCCAGATACTATAGAAAGAGTGTTTCTAAACTGCTCTATGGAAGGGAATGTTCAACTCTGTGACTTAAAAGCAAACATCACAAAGAAGTTTCTGAGAATGCTGCTGTCTACATTTTGTTTGTAATCCCGTTTCCAACGAAATCCTGAAAGCTATCCAAATATCCACTTGCAGATTCCACAAAAAGAGCATTAAAAAGCTGATCTATAAAGAGCAAGGTTCAACTCGGTTAGTTGAGTACATATATCACAAAGATGTTTCTTAGAATGCTTCTTTCTAGTTTTTATGTGAAGACATTTCCTTTATCACCAAAGGCGTCAAAGCGCTCCAAATGTCCACTTCCAGATCCTGCAAAAAGAGTGTTTCAAACCTGCTCTAAGAAAGGGAATGTTGAACTGTGTGACTTGAATGCAGATATCACAAAGCAGTTTCTGAGAGTGCCTCTGTCTAGATTTTATATGAAGGTATTCCCGTTTCCAAAGAAATCATTAGAGCTATGCAAATATCCACTGGCAGATTCTACAAAAAGAGTGTTTCCAAACTGCTGTATCAAAAGACAGGATGTACCGCCGTTAGTTGAGGACACACATCACAAAGAAGTTTCTGAGAATGCCTCTGTCTAGATTTTATATGAAGATATTCCCGTTTCCAATGAATTCCTTAAAGCTCTCCAAATATCCACTTGAAGATTCTCCAAAAACAGTCTTTCAAAACTGCTCTGCAAATAAAATGTTTCAACTCTGTTAGTTGAGGACAAACATCACAATCCAGTTTGTGAGAATGCTTCTGTCTAGTTTTTATGGGAAGATATTTCTTTTGCACCTTAAGCGTCAAAGCGCTCCAAGTGTCCACATCCAGATAGTACAGAAAGAGTGTTTCAAACCTGCTCTATGAAAGGGAATGATCAACTCTGTGACGTGAATGCAGACATCATATAGCAGTTTCTGAGAATGTTTCTGTCTAGGTTTTATATGAAGATACTCCCGTTTCCAAGGAAATCCACAAAGCTATCCAAATATCCACTTGCAGATTCTACAAAAAGCGTGTTTCCAAACTGCTCTGTCAAATGAAATGTTCAACTCTGATAGTTGAGGATACATATCACAAACAAGTTTCTGCGAATGCTTCTGTCTAGTTTTTATCGGAAGATATTTCCTTTTTCACCATAGGCCTGAAAGCACTCGAAATGTCCACTTCCAGATACTACAGAAAGAGTGTTTCAAAACTGCTCTATGAAAGGGAATGTTGAACACTGTGACTTAAAAGCAAACATCACAAAGAAGCTTCTGAGAATGCTGCTTTCTATTTTTATATTTAATCCCTTTTCCAACGAAATCCTCAAAGCTATCCAAATATCCTCCTGCAGATTCCACGAAAAGACGGTTTCAAACCTGCTCTAAGAAAGGGAATATTCAACTCTGTGACTTGAATGCAGATATCAGAAAGTAGTTTCTGAGAGTGCTTGTGTCTAGATTTTATATGAAGATATTCCCGTTTCCAACGAAATAGTTAGAGCTATCCAAATATCCACTTGCATATTCTACAAAAGGAGTGTTTCCAAACTGCTGTATCATAAGACAGTTTGAACTCTGTTAGTTGAGGACACACATCACAAAGAAATTTCTGAGAATGCTTCTGTCTAGTTTTTATGGGATGATATTTCCTTTTTCAACATAGGACTGAAATCGCCCGAAATGTCCACTTCCGGATACTACAGAAAGAGTGTTTCAATCCTGCTCTATGGAAGGGAATATTCAACTCTGTGACTTAAAAGCAACCATCACAAAGAAGCTTCTGAGAATGCTGCTGTCTATATTTTATATGAAATCCCGTTTCCAAGGAAATCCTCAGAGCTATCCGAATATCCACTTGCAGATTACAGAAAAAGAGCTTCTCAAAACTGACCCAGAAATAGAAAGGTTCAACTCTGTTAGTTGAGTACATATATCCCAAAGAAGTTTCTTAGAATGCTTCTGTCTAGTTTTTATGGGAAGACATTTCCTTTTTCACCAAAGGGGTCGAAGCGGTCTAAGTGTCCACTTACACATACTACAAAAAGAGTGTTTCAAACCTTCTCTAAGAAAGGGAATGTTCAACTCTGTGACTTGAAAGCAGATAGCTCAAAGCACTTTCGGAGAGTGCTCTCTAGATTTTATATGAAGGTATTCCCATTTCCAACGAAATCGTTACAGCTATCGAAATATCCACTTGCAGATTCTACAAAAAGAGTGTTTCCAAACTGCTGTATCAAAAGATAGGTTGTACTCTGTTAGTTGAGGACACACATCATAAATAAGTTTCTGAGAATGCCTCTGGCTAGATTTTACCTGAAGATATTACGGTTTAAAATGAAATCCTTGAAGCTCTCCAAATATCCGCTTACAGATTCTCCAAAAAGAGTCTTTCAAAACTGCTCTGTAAATAGAAAGGTTCAACGCTGTTAGTTGAGGACATACATCACAAACCAGTTTGTGAGAATGCTTCTGTCTAGTTTTTATGGGAAGATATTTCCTTTTTTACCGTAAGCGTCAATGTGCTCCAAGTGTCCACATCCAGATACTACAGAAAGAGTGTTTCAAACCTGCTCTATGAAAGGGAATGTTCAACTCTGTGACGTGAATGCAGACATCACAAAGCGGTTTCTGAGAATGTTTCTGTCTAATTTTTATATGAGGATACTTCCGTTTCCAACGAAATCCACAAAGCTATCCAAATATCCACATGCAAATTCTACAAAAAGCGTGTTTCCAAACTGCTCTGTGAAACGAAGTGTTCCACTCTGTGAGTTGAGGGCACACATCACAAACAATTTTCTGCTAATGCTTCTGTCTAGTTTTTATGGGACGATATTTCCTTGTTCACGATAGGCCTGAAAGCGCTCGAAATGTCCACTTCCAGATAGTAGAGAAAGAGGGTTTCAAACCTGCTCTATGGAATGGAATATTCAACTCTGTGACTTAAAAGCAAACATCACAAAGAAGCTTCTGAGAATGCTGCTGTCTACTTTTTATATGCAATCCCGTCTCCAACGAAATCCTCAGAACTATCCTTATATCCAATTGCAGATTCCACAAAAAGAGCTTTTCGAAACTGATCTATCAATAGAAAGGTTCAACTCTGTTAGGTGAGTACATATATCGCCAAGAAGTTTCTTAGAATGCTACTGTCTAGTTTTTATGGGAAGATGTTTCCTTTTTCAACGTAGCCCTGAAAGCGCTCGAAATGTCCACTTTCAGATACTACAGAAAGAGTGTTTCAAACCTGCTCTATGAATGGGAATGTTCAACTCTGTGACTTGAATGCAGATATCACAAAGTAGTTTCTGAGAGTGCTTCTGTCTAGATTTTGTATGAAGATATCCCCGTTTCCAACGAAATACTTAGAGCTATCCAAATATCCAATTGCATATTCTACCAAAAGCGTGTTTCCAAACTGCTGTATCATAAGAGAGGTTGAACTCTGTTAGTTGAGGACACACATCACAAAGAAGTTTCTGAGAATGCTTCCGTCTAGGTTTTATATGAAGATACTCCCGTTCCCAAGGAAAATCCACAAAGCTATCCAAATATCCACTTGCAGATTCTACAAAAAGCGTGTTTCCAAACTGCTCTGTCACAGGAAATGTTCAACTCTGTTGGTTGAGGACACACATCACAAACAAGTTTCTGCGAATGCTTCTGTCTAGTTTTTGTGGGAAGATATTTCCTTTTTCACCGTAGGCATCAAAGCGCTCCAAATGTCCACATTCAGATACTACAAAAAGAGTGTTTCAAACCTGCTCGATGAAAGGGAATGTTCAACTCTGTGACTTGAATGCAGACATCACAAAGCAGTTTCTGAGAATGTTTCTGTCTAGATTTTATATGAAGATACTCCCGTTTCCAATGAAATCCACAAAGCTATCCAAATATCCACTTGCAGATTCTACAGAAAGCGTGTTTCCAAACTGCTCTGTCAAACGAAATGTTCAACTCCGTTAGTTGAGGACACACATCAGAAACAAGTTTCTGCGAATGCT
>NC_000018.10:20641569-20652427 GCF_000001405.40 Homo sapiens | reverse complement strand
ACATGCCACCATGCCCAGCTAATTTTTTGTATTTTTGGTAGAGATGGGGTCTTGCCATGTTGCCCAGGCTGGTCTTGAACTACTGAGCTCAAGCAATCTGCCCATCTTGGCCTCCAAAAGTGCTGGGGTTGCAAGAAAATAGTTGCTAATTTAAAAACTGGAATACTTCAAATACAAATCTGATTTCCAATAACTGTTTCTCAACAAAGAGCCAGAGGCCTGCACATCAGCAATATCCTCTCACTGTTTTCTGAGAGAGGATATGTTTTCTATTTCACACAGTCCTTACCTGGACCACTTATTTGTGTTATCTGTCTGATGTTTAAGATCACCTGAATTTTCAGTGCTGCCAAAAAAGGTAACAATTGGCATATGATACATACAAATATAAAACATTCCCTTTCATAGAGCAGGTTTGAAACACTCTTTCTGTAGTATCTGGAAGTGGACATTTCGAGCGCTTTCAGGCCTATGGTGGAAAAGGAAATATCTTCCCATAAAAACTACACAGAGCTGTCTACTTTGTGTATGTAATCCCGATTCCAAAGAAATCCTCAAAGCTATCTAAATATCCTCCTGCAGATTCCACAGAAAGTCGGTTTCAAACCTGCTCTTAGAAAGGGAATATTCAACTCTGTGATATGAATGCAGATATCACAAAGTAGTTTCTGAGAGTGCTTCTGTGGAGATTTTATATGAAGATATTCCCGTTTCCAATGAAATAGTTAGAGCTATTCATATATCCAGTTGCAAATTGTATAAAAAGTGTGTTTCCAAGCTGCTGTATCATAAGAAAGGTTGAACTCTGTTAGTTGAGGACCCACATCACAAAGAAGTTTCTGAGAATGGTTCTGTCTAGTTTTTATGGGAAGATATTTCCTTTTTCCACATAGGCCTGAAATCGCCCGAAATGTCCACTTCCAGATACTACAGAAAGAGTGTTTCAAACCTGCTCTATGGAAGGGAATATTCAACTCTGTGACTTAAAAGCAAACATCACAAAGAATCTCCTGAGAATGCTGCTGTCTACTTTTTATATATAATCCCGTCTCCAACGAAATCCTCAGAGCTATCCTAATATCCATTTGCAGATTCCACACAAAGAGCTTTTCAAAACTGATCTCTAAAGAGAAAGGTTCAACTCTGTGAGTTGAGTACATATATCCCAAAGAAGTTTCTTAGAATGCTTCGGTCTAGTTTTGATGTGAAGACATTTCCTTTTTCACCAAAGGCGTCAAAGTGCTCCAAATGTCCACTTCCAGATACTACCAAAAGAGTGTTTTAAACCTGCTTTAAGAAAGGAAATGTTGAACTCTGTGACTTGAATGCAGATATCACAAAGCAGTTTCTGAGAGTGCCACTGTCTAGATTTTATATGAAGGTGTTCCCGTTTCCCACGAAATCGTTAGAGCTATCCAAATATCCACTTGCAGATTCTGTAAAAAGAGTGTTTCCAAACTGCTGTATCAAAAGACAGGTTGTACTCTGGTCGGTGAGTACACACATCACAAAGAAATTTCTGAGAATGCCTCTGTCTAGTTTTTACCTGAAGATATTCCGGTTCCCAATAAAATCCTTAAAGCTCTTCAATAAAAGCTCTCCGAATATCCACTTGCAGATTCTCCACATAGAGTCTTTCAAAACTGCTCTGTAAATTGAAATGTTCAACTCTGTTAGTTGAGGACATACATCACAAACCAGTTTGTGAGAATGCTTCTGTCTAGTTTTCATGGGAAGTTATTTCCTTTTTCAGTGTAAGCGTCAAAGCGCTCCAAGTGTCGACATCCAGATACTTCAGAAAGAGTGTTTCAAACCTGCTCTATGAAAGGGAATGTTCAACTCTGTGACGTGAATGCAGACATTACAAAGGAGTTTCGGAGAATGTTTCCGTCTAGGTTTTATATGAAGATACTCCCGTTTCCAACGACATCCACAAAGCTATCCAAATATCCAATTGCAGATTCTACAAAAAGCGTGTTTCCAAACTGCTCTGTCACAGGAAATGTTCAACTCTGTTGGTTGAGGACACACATCACAAACAAGTTTCTGCGAATGCTTCTGTCTAGTTTTTATGGGGAGATATTTCCTTTTTCACCATGGGCCTGAAAGCGCTCGAAATGTCCACTTCCAGATACTACAGAAAGAGTGTTTCAAACCTGCTGTATGAAAGGGAATGTTCAACTCTGTGACTTAGAAGCAAACATCACAAAGAAGCTTCTGAGAATGTTGCTGTCTACTTTGTATATGTAATCCCGTTTCCAACGAAATCCTCAAAGCTATCCAAATATCCTCCTGCAGCTTCCACGAAAAGACGGTTTCAAACCTGCTCTAAGAAAGGGAATATTCAACTCTGTGATTTGAATACTGATATCACAATGTAGTTTCTGAGAGTGCTTCTGTCTAGATTTTATATGAAGATATTCCCATTTCGAACGAAATAGTTAGAGCTGTTCAAATATCCACTTGCATATTCTACAAAAAGTGTTTTTTCAAACTGCTGTATTATAAGAGAGGTTGAACTCTGTTAGTTGAGGACACACATCACAAAGAAGTTTCTGAGAATGCTTCTGTCTTGTTTTTATGGGAAGATGTTTCCTTTTTCAACATAGGCCTGAAATCGCTCGAAATGTCCACTTCCAGATACTACAAAAAAAGTGTTTCAAACCGGCTCTATGGAAGGGAATATTGAACTCTGTGACTTAAAAGCAAACATCACAAAGAAGTTTCTGAGAATGCTGCTGTCTACTTTTTATATGTAATCCCGTTTCCAACGCAATCCTCAGAGCTATCCTAAGATTCACTTGCAGATTCCACGAAAAGAGCTTTTCAAGACTGATCTATAAATAGAAAGGTTCAACTCTGTTAGTTGAGTACGTATATCCCAAAGAATTCTCTTAGAATGCTTCCGTCTGGTTTTTATGGGAAGACATCTCTTTATCACCAAAGGTGTCAAAGCGCTCCAGAAGTCCACTTCCTGATAGTACAAAAAGAGTGTTTCCAAACTGCTGTATCATAACAAAGGCTGAACTCTGTTAGTTGAGGACACACGTCACAAAGAAGTTTCTGAGAATGCCTCTGTCTAGATTTTACCTGAAGATATTCCGGTTTACAATGAAATCCTTAAAGCTCTCCAAATATCCACTTGCAGATTCTCCAAAAAGAGTCTTTCAAAACTACTCTGTAAATAGAAAGGTTCAACTCTGTTAGTTGAGGAAATACATCACAAACTAGTTTTTGAGAATGCTTCTGTCTAGTTTTCATTGGAAGATATTTCCTTTTGCACCGTAAGCCTCAAAGCGCTCCAAGTGTCCACATCCAGGTACTACAGAAAGAGTGTTTCAAACCTGCTCTATGAAAGGAAATATTCAACTCTGTGACGTGAATACAGACATCACAAAGCAGTTTCTGAGAATGTTTCTGTCTAGATTTTATATGAAGATATTCCGGTTTCCAACGAAATCCACAAAGCTATCAAAATATCCACTTGCAGATTCTACAAAAAGTGTGTTTCTGAACTGCTCATTCAAACGAAACGTTCAACTCTGTTAGTTGAGGACACACATCACAAAGAAGGTTCTGCGAATGCTTCTGTCTAGATTTTATATGAAGATATTCCCGTTTCCAACGATATCATTAAAGGTATCCAAATATCAACTTGCACATTCTAGAAAAATAGTGTTTCAAAGCTGCCCTGTAAAAAGAAAGGTTCCACTGTGTTAGCTGAGTACACACATCACAAACATGTTTCTGAGAATCCTTCTGTCTAGTTTTTATGGGAAGACATTTCCTTTTTCACCAAAGGCGTCAAAGCGCTCCAAGTGTCCACTTCCAGATACTACAAAAAGAGAGTTTCAAACCTGCTCTAAGAAAGGGAATGTTCAACTCTGTGACTTGAATGCAGATATCACAAAGCAGTTTCTGAGAGTGCCTCTGTCTAGATTTCATATGAAGGTATTCCCGTATCCATCGAAATCGCTAGAGCTATCCAAATATCCTCTTGCAGATTCTACAAAAAGAGTGTTTCCAAACTGATGTATCAAAAGACAGGTTGTACTCTGTTAGTTGAGGACGCACATCACGAAGAAGTTTCCGAGAATGCCTCTGTCTAGATTTTACCTGAAGATATTCCGGTTTCCAGTGAAATCCTTAAAGATCTCCAGATATCCACTTGCAGATTCTCCAAAAAGAGTCTTTGAAAACTGCTCTGTAAATAGAAAGGTTCAACTCTGTTAGTTGAGGACATACATCACAAACCAGTTTGTGAGAATGCTTCTGTCTAGTTTTCATGGGAAGTTATTTCTTTTTTCACCGTAAGCGTCAAAGCGCTCCAAGTGTCCACATCCAGATACTTCAGAAAGAGTGTTTCAAACCTGCTCTATGAAAGGGAATGTTCAACTCTGTGACGTGAATGCAGACATTACAAAGGAGTTTCGGAGAATGTTTCCGTCTAGGTTTTATATGAAGATACTCCCGTTCCCAAGGAAATCCACAAAGCTATCCAAATATCCACTTGCAGATTCTACAAAAAGCGTGTTTCCAAACTGCTCTGTCACAGGAAATGTTCAACTCTGTTGGTTGAGGACACACATCACAAACAAGTTTCTGCGAATGCTTCTGTCTAGTTTTTATGGGGAGATATTTCCTTTTTCACCATGGGCCTGAAAGCGCTCGAAATGTCCACTTCCAGATACTACAGAAAGAGTGTTTCAAACCTGCTGTATGAAAGGGAATGTTCAACTCTGTGACTTAGAAGCAAACATCACAAAGAAGCTTCTGAGAATGTTGCTGTCTACTTTGTATATGTAATCCCGTTTCCAACGAAATCCTCAAAGCTATCCAAATATCCTCCTGCAGCTTCCACGAAAAGACGGTTTCAAACCTGCTCTAAGAAAGGGAATATTCAACTCTGTGACTTGAATACAGATATCACAATGTAGTTTCTGAGAGTGCTTCTGTCTAGATTTTATATGAAGATATTCCCATTTCGAACGAAATAGTTAGAGCTGTTCAAATATCCACTTGCATATTCTACAAAAAGTGTTTTTTCAAACTGCTGTATTATAAGAGAGGTTGAACTCTGTTAGTTGAGGACACACATCACAAAGAAGTTTCTGAGAATGCTTCTGTCTTGTTTTTATGGGAAGATGTTTCCTTTTTCAACATAGGCCTGAAATCGCTCGAAATGTCCACTTCCAGATACTACAAAAAAAGTGTTTCAAACCGGCTCTATGGAAGGGAATATTGAACTCTGTGACTTAAAAGCAAACATCACAAAGAAGTTTCTGAGAATGCTGCTGTCTACTTTTTATATGTAATCCCGTTTCCAACGCAATCCTCAGAGCTATCCTAAGATTCACTTGCAGATTCCACGAAAAGAGCTTTTCAAGACTGATCTATAAATAGAAAGGTTCAACTCTGTTAGTTGAGTACGTATATCCCAAAGAATTCTCTTAGAATGCTTCCGTCTGGTTTTTATGGGAAGACATCTCTTTATCACCAAAGGTGTCAAAGCGCTCCAAAAGTCCACTTCCTGATAGTACAAAAAGAGTGTTTCCAAACTGCTGTATCATAACAAAGGCTGAACTCTGTTAGTTGAGGACACACATCACAAAGAAGTTTCTGAGAATGCCTCTGTCTAGAGTTTACCTGAAGATATTCCGGTTTACAATGAAATCCTTAAAGCTCTCAAATATCCACTTGTAGATTCTCCAAAAAGAGTCTTTCAAAACTACTCTGTAAATAGAAAGGTTCAACTCTGTTAGTTGAGGAAATACATCACAAACTAGTTTTTGAGAATGCTTCTGTCTAGTTTTCATTGGAAGATATTTCCTTTTGCACCGTAAGCCTCAAAGCGCTCCAAGTGTCCACATCCAGATACTACAGAAAGAGTGTTTCAAACCTGCTCTATGAAAGGAAATATTCAACTCTGTGACGTGAATACAGACATCACAAAGCAGTTTCTGAGAATGTTTCTTTCTAGGTTTTATATGAAGATACTCCCGTTTCCAAGGAAATCCACAAAGCTATCCAAATATCCACTTGCAGATTCTACAAAAAGCGTGTTTCCAAACTGCTCTGTCAAACGAAATGTTCAACTCTGTGAGTTGAGGACACACATCACAAACAAGTTTCTGCGAAGGCTTCTGTTTAGTTTTTATGGGAAGATATTTCCTTGTTCACCATAGGCCTGAAAGCGCTCGAAATGGCCACTTCCAGATATTACAGAAAGAGTGTTTGAAACCTGCTCTATGAAAGGGAATGTTCAACTCTGTGACTTAAAAGCAAACATCACAAAGAAGCTTCTGAGAATGCTGCTGTCCACTTTGTATATGTAATCCCGTTTCCTACGAAATCCTCAAAGCTATCCAAATATCCTCCTGCAGATTCCACGAAAAGACGGTTTCAAACCTGCTCTAAGAAAGGGAATATTCAACTCTGTGACTTGAATGCAGATATCACAAAGTAGTTTCTGAGAGTGCTTCTGTCTAGATTTTATATGAAGATATTCCCGTTACCAACAAAATAGTTAGAGCTCTCCAAATATCCAGTTGCATATTCTACAAAAAGAGTGTTTCCAAACTGCTGTATCATAAGAGAGGTTGAACTCTGTTAGTTGAGGACACACATCACAAAGAAGTTTCTGAGAATGCTTCTGTCTAGTTTTTATGGGAAGATATTTCCTTTTTCAACATAGGCCTGAAATCGCTCGAAATGTCCACTTCCAGATACTACAGAAAGAGTGTTTCAAACCTGCTCTATGGAAGGGAATATTCAACTCTGTGATTTAAAAGCAAACATCACAAAGAAGCTTCTGAGAATGCTGCTGTCTATTTTTATATGTAATCCCGTCTCCAACGAAATCTTCGGCGGTATCCTAACATCGACTTGCAGATTCCACAAAAAGAGCTTTTCAAAACTGATCTCTAAATAGAAAGTTTCAACTCTGTTAGTTGAGTACATATATCCCAAAGAAGTTTCTTAGAATGCTTCTGTCTAGTTTTTATGGGAAGACATTTCCTTTTTCACCAATGGCGTCAAAGCGCTCCAAATGTCCACTTCCAGATACTACAAAAAGAGTGGTTCAAACCTGCTCTCAGAAAGGGAATGTTCAACACTGTGACTTGAATGCAGATATCACAAAGCAGTTTCTGAGAGTGCCTCTGTCTAGATTTTATATGAAGGTATTCCCGTTTCCTACGAAATCTTTAGAGCTATCCAAATATCCACTTGCAGATTGTACAAAAAGAGTGTTTCCAAACTGCTGTATCAAAAGCCAGGTAGTACTTTGTTAGTTGAGGACACACATCACAAAGAGGTTTCTGAGAATGCCTCTGTCTAGATTTTACCTGAAGATATTCGGGTTTCCAGTGAAATCCTTAAAGCTCTCGAAATATCCACTTGCAGATTCTCCAAAAAGAGTCTTTCAAAACTGCTCTGTAAATAGAAAAGTTCAACTCTGTTAGATGAGGACATACATCACAAACCAGTTTGTGAGAATGCTTCTGTCTAGTTTTTATGGGAAGATATTTCCTTTTTCACTGTAAGCGTCAAAGCGCTCCAAGTGTCCACATCCAGATACTACAGAAAGAGTGTATCAAACCTGCTCTATGAAGGGGAATATTCAACTCTGTAACGTGAATGCAGACATCACAAAGCAGTTTCTGAGAATGTTTCTGTCTAGGTTTTATATGGAGATTCTCCCGTTTCCAACGAAATCCACAAAGCTATCCAAATATCCACTTGCAGATTCTACAAAAAGCGTGTTTCCAAGCTGCTCTGTCAAACGAAATGTTCAACTCTGTGAGTTGAGGACACGCATCACAAACAAGTTTCTGCAAATGCTTGTGTCTGGTTTTTATGGGAAGATATTTCCTTGTTCACCATAGGCCTGAAAACACTCGAAATGTCCACTTCCAGATACTACAGAAAGAGTGTCTGAAACCTGCTCTACGAAAGGGAATGTTCAACTCTGTGACTTAAAAGCAAGCATCACAAAGAAGCTTCTGAGTATGCTACTGTCTAGTTTTTATGGGAAGATATTTCGTTTTTCAACATAGGCCTGAAATCGCTCGAAATGTCCACTTCCAGATACTATAGAAAGAGTGTTTCTAAACTGCTCTATGGAAGGGAATGTTCAACTCTGTGACTTAAAAGCAAACATCACAAAGAAGTTTCTGAGAATGCTGCTGTCTACATTTTGTTTGTAATCCCGTTTCCAACGAAATCCTGAAAGCTATCCAAATATCCACTTGCAGATTCCACAAAAAGAGCATTAAAAAGCTGATCTATAAAGAGCAAGGTTCAACTCGGTTAGTTGAGTACATATATCACAAAGATGTTTCTTAGAATGCTTCTTTCTAGTTTTTATGTGAAGACATTTCCTTTATCACCAAAGGCGTCAAAGCGCTCCAAATGTCCACTTCCAGATCCTGCAAAAAGAGTGTTTCAAACCTGCTCTAAGAAAGGGAATGTTGAACTGTGTGACTTGAATGCAGATATCACAAAGCAGTTTCTGAGAGTGCCTCTGTCTAGATTTTATATGAAGGTATTCCCGTTTCCAAAGAAATCATTAGAGCTATGCAAATATCCACTGGCAGATTCTACAAAAAGAGTGTTTCCAAACTGCTGTATCAAAAGACAGGATGTACCGCCGTTAGTTGAGGACACACATCACAAAGAAGTTTCTGAGAATGCCTCTGTCTAGATTTTATATGAAGATATTCCCGTTTCCAATGAATTCCTTAAAGCTCTCCAAATATCCACTTGAAGATTCTCCAAAAACAGTCTTTCAAAACTGCTCTGCAAATAAAATGTTTCAACTCTGTTAGTTGAGGACAAACATCACAATCCAGTTTGTGAGAATGCTTCTGTCTAGTTTTTATGGGAAGATATTTCTTTTGCACCTTAAGCGTCAAAGCGCTCCAAGTGTCCACATCCAGATAGTACAGAAAGAGTGTTTCAAACCTGCTCTATGAAAGGGAATGATCAACTCTGTGACGTGAATGCAGACATCATATAGCAGTTTCTGAGAATGTTTCTGTCTAGGTTTTATATGAAGATACTCCCGTTTCCAAGGAAATCCACAAAGCTATCCAAATATCCACTTGCAGATTCTACAAAAAGCGTGTTTCCAAACTGCTCTGTCAAATGAAATGTTCAACTCTGATAGTTGAGGATACATATCACAAACAAGTTTCTGCGAATGCTTCTGTCTAGTTTTTATCGGAAGATATTTCCTTTTTCACCATAGGCCTGAAAGCACTCGAAATGTCCACTTCCAGATACTACAGAAAGAGTGTTTCAAAACTGCTCTATGAAAGGGAATGTTGAACACTGTGACTTAAAAGCAAACATCACAAAGAAGCTTCTGAGAATGCTGCTTTCTACTTTGTATATGTAATCCCTTTTCCAACGAAATCCTCAAAGCTATCCAAATATCCTCCTGCACATTCCACGAAAAGACGGTTTCAAACCTGCTCTAAGAAAGGGAATATTCAACTCTGTGACTTGAATGCAGATATTAGAATGTAGTTTCTGAGAGTGCTTGTGTCTAGATTTTATATGATGATATTCCCGTTTCCAACGAAATAGTTAGAGCTATCCAAGTATCCACTTGCATATTCTACAAAAGGAGTGTTTCCAAACTGCTGTATCATAAGACAGTTTGAACTCTGTTAGTTGAGGACACACATCACAAAGAAATTTCTGAGAATGCTTCTGTCTAGTTTTTATGGGATGATATTTCCTTTTTCAACATAGGACTGAAATCGCCCGAAATGTCCACTTCCGGATACTACAGAAAGAGTGTTTCAATCCTGCTCTATGGAAGGGAATATTCAACTCTGTGACTTAAAAGCAACCATCACAAAGAAGCTTCTGAGAATGCTGCTGTCTATATTTTATATGAAATCCCGTTTCCAAGGAAATCCTCAGAGCTATCCGAATATCCACTTGCAGATTACAGAAAAAGAGCTTCTCAAAACTGACCCAGAAATAGAAAGGTTCAACTCTGTTAGTTGAGTACATATATCCCAAAGAAGTTTCTTAGAATGCTTCTGTCTAGTTTTTATGGGAAGACATTTCCTTTTTCACCAAAGGGGTCGAAGCGGTCTAAGTGTCCACTTACACATACTACAAAAAGAGTGTTTCAAACCTTCTCTAAGAAAGGGAATGTTCAACTCTGTGACTTGAAAGCAGATAGCTCAAAGCACTTTCGGAGAGTGCTCTCTAGATTTTATATGAAGGTATTCCCATTTCCAACGAAATCGTTACAGCTATCGAAATATCCACTTGCAGATTCTACAAAAAGAGTGTTTCCAAACTGCTGTATCAAAAGATAGGTTGTACTCTGTTAGTTGAGGACACACATCATAAATAAGTTTCTGAGAATGCCTCTGGCTAGATTTTACCTGAAGATATTACGGTTTAAAATGAAATCCTTGAAGCTCTCCAAATATCCGCTTACAGATTCTCCAAAAAGAGTCTTTCAAAACTGCTCTGTAAATAGAAAGGTTCAACGCTGTTAGTTGAGGACATACATCACAAACCAGTTTGTGAGAATGCTTCTGTCTAGTTTTTATGGGAAGATATTTCCTTTTTTACCGTAAGCGTCAATGTGCTCCAAGTGTCCACATCCAGATACTACAGAAAGAGTGTTTCAAACCTGCTCTATGAAAGGGAACGTTCAACTCTGTGACGTGAATGCAGACATCACAAAGCGGTTTCTGAGAATGTTCATTTATTGATTTGCGTATATTGAACCCAGCCCTTGCATCCCAGGGATGAAGGCCCACTTGATCCATGGTGGATAAGTTTTTTGATGTGCTGCTGGATTCGGTTTGCCAGCATTTTATTGAGG
>NC_000018.10:20625137-20641469 GCF_000001405.40 Homo sapiens | reverse complement strand
TCTGTCTAGTTTTTATGGGACGATATTTCCCTTGTTCACGATAGGCCTGAAAGCGCTCGAAATGTCCACTTCCAGATAGTAGAGAAAGAGGGTTTCAAACCTGCTCTATGGAATGGAATATTCAACTCTGTGACTTAAAAGCAAACATCACAAAGAAGCTTCTGAGAATGCTGCTGTCTACTTTTTATATGTAATGCCGTCTCCAACGAAATCCTCAGAGCTATCCTAATATCCATTTGCAGATTCCACAAAAAGAGCTTTTCAAAACTGATCTATAAAGAGATAGGTTCAACTCTGTCAGTTCAGTACATGTATCCCAAAGAAGTTTCTTAGAATGTTTCGGTCTAGTTTTGATGGGAAGACATATCCTTTTACACCAAAGGCATCAAAGCGCTCCAAATTTCCAGTTCCAGATACTACAAAAAGAGTGTTTCAAACCTGCTTTAAGAAAGGAAATGTTCAACTCTGTGACTTGAATGCAGGTATCACGAAGCAGTTTCTGAGAATGTTTCTGTCTAGTTTTTCCATGAAGATACTCCCCTTTCCAACGAAATCCACAAAGCTATCCAAATATCCACTTGCAGATTCTACAAAAA
The DNA here is from genome assembly GCF_000001405.40 of Homo sapiens. Taxonomy (NCBI): domain Eukaryota; kingdom Metazoa; phylum Chordata; class Mammalia; order Primates; family Hominidae; genus Homo; species Homo sapiens. The sequence continues at coordinate 20,640,873 of NC_000018.10, read as the reverse complement.
GCGAGTTTCCAAACTGCTCTGTCAAACGAAATGTTCAACTCTGTGAGTTGAGGACACACATCACAAACAAGTTTCTGCGAATGCTTCTGTCTAGTTTGCATGGGAAGATATTTCCTTGTTCACCATAGGCCAGAAAGTGCTCGAAATGTCCACTTCCAGATACTACAGAGAGAGTGTTTGAAACCTGCCCTATGAAAGTCAGTGTTCAACTGTGTGACTTAAAAGCAAACATCACAAAGAAGCTTCTGAGAATGCTGCTGTCTACTTTGTATGTGTAATCCCGTTTCCAACGAAATCCTCAAAGCTACCCAAACATCCTCCTGCAGATTCCACAGAAAGATGGTTTCAAACCTGCTCTTAGAAAGGGAATATTCAACTCAGTGATATCAATGCAGATATCACAAAGTAGTTTCTGAGAGTGCTTCTGTGGAGATTTTATATGAAGATATTCCCGTTTCCAACGAGATAGTTAGAGCTATCCATGTATCCAGTTGCAAATTCTATAAAAAGTGTGTTTTCAAGCTGCTGTATCATAAGAAAAGTTGAACTCTGTTAGTTGAGGACCCACATCACAAAGAAGTTTCTGAGAATGCTTCTGTCTAGTTTTTATGGGAAGATATTTCCTTTTTCCACATAAGCCTCAAATCGCTCGAAATGTCCACTTCCAGATACTACAGAAAGAGTGTTTCAAACCTGCCCTATGGAAGGGAATATTCAACTCTGTGACTTAAAAGCAATCATCACAAAGAAGCTCCTGAGAATGCTGCTGTCTATTTTTATATGTAATCCCGTCTCCAACGAAATCTTCGGCGGTATCCTAACATCGACTTGCAGATTCCACAAAAAGAGCTTTTCAAAACTGATCTCTAAATAGAAAGTTTCAACTCTGTTAGTTGAGTACATATATCCCAAAGAAGTTTCTTAGAATGCTTCTGTCTAGTTTTTATGGGAAGACATTTCCTTTTTCACCAATGGCGTCAAAGCGCTCCAAATGTCCACTTCCAGATACTACAAAAAGAGTGGTTCAAACCTGCTCTCAGAAAGGGAATGTTCAACACTGTGACTTGAATGCAGATATCACAAAGCAGTTTCTGAGAGTGCCTCTGTCTAGATTTTATATGAAGGTATTCCCGTTTCCTACGAAATCTTTAGAGCTATCCAAATATCCACTTGCAGATTGTACAAAAAGAGTGTTTCCAAACTGCTGTATCAAAAGCCAGGTAGTACTTTGTTAGTTGAGGACACACATCACAAAGAGGTTTCTGAGAATGCCTCTGTCTAGATTTTACCTGAAGATATTCGGGTTTCCAGTGAAATCCTTAAAGCTCTCGAAATATCCACTTGCAGATTCTCCAAAAAGAGTCTTTCAAAACTGCTCTGTAAATAGAAAAGTTCAACTCTGTTAGATGAGGACATACATCACAAACCAGTTTGTGAGAATGCTTCTGTCTAGTTTTTATGGGAAGATATTTCCTTTTTCACTGTAAGCGTCAAAGCGCTCCAAGTGTCCACATCCAGATACTACAGAAAGAGTGTATCAAACCTGCTCTATGAAGGGGAATATTCAACTCTGTAACGTGAATGCAGACATCACAAAGCAGTTTCTGAGAATGTTTCTGTCTAGGTTTTATATGGAGATTCTCCCGTTTCCAACGAAATCCACAAAGCTATCCAAATATCCACTTGCAGATTCTACAAAAAGCGTGTTTCCAAGCTGCTCTGTCAAACGAAATGTTCTATTCTGTGAGTTGAGGACACGCATCACAAACAAGTTTCTGCAAATGCTTGTGTCTGGTTTTTATGGGAAGATATTTCCTTGTTCACCATAGGCCTGAAAACACTCGAAATGTCCACTTCCAGATACTACAGAAAGAGTGTCTGAAACCTGCTCTACGAAAGGGAATGTTCAACTCTGTGACTTAAAAGCAAGCATCACAAAGAAGCTTCTGAGTATGCTACTGTCTAGTTTTTATGGGAAGATATTTCGTTTTTCAACATAGGCCTGAAATCGCTCGAAATGTCCACTTCCAGATACTATAGAAAGAGTGTTTCTAAACTGCTCTATGGAAGGGAATGTTCAACTCTGTGACTTAAAAGCAAACATCACAAAGAAGTTTCTGAGAATGCTGCTGTCTACATTTTGTTTGTAATCCCGTTTCCAACGAAATCCTGAAAGCTATCCAAATATCCACTTGCAGATTCCACAAAAAGAGCATTAAAAAGCTGATCTATAAAGAGCAAGGTTCAACTCGGTTAGTTGAGTACATATATCACAAAGATGTTTCTTAGAATGCTTCTTTCTAGTTTTTATGTGAAGACATTTCCTTTATCACCAAAGGCGTCAAAGCGCTCCAAATGTCCACTTCCAGATCCTGCAAAAAGAGTGTTTCAAACCTGCTCTAAGAAAGGGAATGTTGAACTGTGTGACTTGAATGCAGATATCACAAAGCAGTTTCTGAGAGTGCCTCTGTCTAGATTTTATATGAAGGTATTCCCGTTTCCAAAGAAATCATTAGAGCTATGCAAATATCCACTGGCAGATTCTACAAAAAGAGTGTTTCCAAACTGCTGTATCAAAAGACAGGATGTACCGCCGTTAGTTGAGGACACACATCACAAAGAAGTTTCTGAGAATGCCTCTGTCTAGATTTTATATGAAGATATTCCCGTTTCCAATGAATTCCTTAAAGCTCTCCAAATATCCACTTGAAGATTCTCCAAAAACAGTCTTTCAAAACTGCTCTGCAAATAAAATGTTTCAACTCTGTTAGTTGAGGACAAACATCACAATCCAGTTTGTGAGAATGCTTCTGTCTAGTTTTTATGGGAAGATATTTCTTTTGCACCTTAAGCGTCAAAGCGCTCCAAGTGTCCACATCCAGATAGTACAGAAAGAGTGTTTCAAACCTGCTCTATGAAAGGGAATGATCAACTCTGTGACGTGAATGCAGACATCATATAGCAGTTTCTGAGAATGTTTCTGTCTAGGTTTTATATGAAGATACTCCCGTTTCCAAGGAAATCCACAAAGTTATCCAAATATCCACTTGCAGATTCTACAAAAAGCGTGTTTCCAAACTGCTCTGTCAAATGAAATGTTCAACTCTGATAGTTGAGGATACATATCACAAACAAGTTTCTGCGAATGCTTCTGTCTAGTTTTTATCGGAAGATATTTCCTTTTTCACCATAGGCCTGAAAGCACTCGAAATGTCCACTTCCAGATACTACAGAAAGAGTGTTTCAAAACTGCTCTATGAAAGGGAATGTTGAACACTGTGACTTAAAAGCAAACATCACAAAGAAGCTTCTGAGAATGCTGCTTTCTATTTTTATATTTAATCCCTTTTCCAACGAAATCCTCAAAGCTATCCAAATATCCTCCTGCAGATTCCACGAAAAGACGGTTTCAAACCTGCTCTAAGAAAGGGAATATTCAACTCTGTGACTTGAATGCAGATATCAGAAAGTAGTTTCTGAGAGTGCTTGTGTCTAGATTTTATATGAAGATATTCCCGTTTCCAACGAAATAGTTAGAGCTATCCAAATATCCACTTGCATATTCTACAAAAGGAGTGTTTCCAAACTGCTGTATCATAAGACAGTTTGAACTCTGTTAGTTGAGGACACACATCACAAAGAAATTTCTGAGAATGCTTCTGTCTAGTTTTTATGGGATGATATTTCCTTTTTCAACATAGGACTGAAATCGCCCGAAATGTCCACTTCCGGATACTACAGAAAGAGTGTTTCAATCCTGCTCTATGGAAGGGAATATTCAACTCTGTGACTTAAAAGCAACCATCACAAAGAAGCTTCTGAGAATGCTGCTGTCTATATTTTATATGAAATCCCGTTTCCAAGGAAATCCTCAGAGCTATCCGAATATCCACTTGCAGATTACAGAAAAAGAGCTTCTCAAAACTGACCCAGAAATAGAAAGGTTCAACTCTGTTAGTTGAGTACATATATCCCAAAGAAGTTTCTTAGAATGCTTCTGTCTAGTTTTTATGGGAAGACATTTCCTTTTTCACCAAAGGGGTCGAAGCGGTCTAAGTGTCCACTTACACATACTACAAAAAGAGTGTTTCAAACCTTCTCTAAGAAAGGGAATGTTCAACTCTGTGACTTGAAAGCAGATAGCTCAAAGCACTTTCGGAGAGTGCCTCTCTAGATTTTATATGAAGGTATTCCCATTTCCAACGAAATCGTTACAGCTATCGAAATATCCACTTGCAGATTCTACAAAAAGAGTGTTTCCAAACTGCTGTATCAAAAGATAGGTTGTACTCTGTTAGTTGAGGACACACATCATAAATAAGTTTCTGAGAATGCCTCTGGCTAGATTTTACCTGAAGATATTACGGTTTAAAATGAAATCCTTGAAGCTCTCCAAATATCCGCTTACAGATTCTCCAAAAAGAGTCTTTCAAAACTGCTCTGTAAATAGAAAGGTTCAACGCTGTTAGTTGAGGACATACATCACAAACCAGTTTGTGAGAATGCTTCTGTCTAGTTTTTATGGGAAGATATTTCCTTTTTTACCGTAAGCGTCAATGTGCTCCAAGTGTCCACATCCAGATACTACAGAAAGAGTGTTTCAAACCTGCTCTATGAAAGGGAATGTTCAACTCTGTGACGTGAATGCAGACATCACAAAGCGGTTTCTGAGAATGTTTCTGTCTAATTTTTATATGAGGATACTTCCGTTTCCAACGAAATCCACAAAGCTATCCAAATATCCACATGCAAATTCTACAAAAAGCGTGTTTCCAAACTGCTCTGTGAAACGAAGTGTTCCACTCTGTGAGTTGAGGGCACACATCACAAACAATTTTCTGCTAATGCTTCTGTCTAGTTTTTATGGGACGATATTTCCTTGTTCACCATAGGCCTGAAAGCGCTCGAAATGTCCACTTCCAGATAGTAGAGAAAGAGGGTTTCAAACCTGCTCTATGGAAGGGAATATTCAACTTCTGTGACTTAAAAGCAAACATCACAAAGAAGCTTCTGAGAATGCTGCTGTCTACTTTGTATGTGTAATCCCGTTTCCAACGAAATCCTCAAAGCTATCCAAATATCGTCCTGCAGATTCCACAGAAAGACGGTTTCAAACCCGCTCTTAGAAAGGGAATATTCAACTCTGTGATATGAATGCAGATATCACAAAGAAGTTTCTGAGAGTGCTTCTGCCTAGGTTTTATATGAAGATATTCCCGTTTCCAACGAAATAGTTAAAGCTATCCATATATCCAGTTGCAAATTCTATAAAAAGGGTGTTTCCAAGCTCCTGTATCATAAGAATTGTTGAACTCTGTTAGTTGAGGACCCACATCACAAAGAAGTTTCTGAGTATGGTTCTGTCTAGTTTTTTTGGGAAGATGTTTCCTTTTTCAACACAGGCCTGAAAGCGCTCGAAATGTCCACTTCCAGATACTACAGAAAGAGTGTTTCAAGCCTGCTCTATGGAAGGGAATATTCAACTCTGTGACTTAAAAGCAAACATCACAAAGAAGCTTCTGAGAATGCTGCTGTGTACTTTTTATATGTAATACCGTCTCCAACGAAATCCTCAGAGCTATCCGAATATCCACTTGCAGATTCCACAAAAAGAGCATTAAAAAGCTGATCTATAAAGAGCAAGGTTCAACTCGGTTAGTTGAGTACATATATCCCAAAGAAGTTTCTTAGAATGCTTCTGTCTAGTTTTTATGTGAAGACATTTCCTTTATCACCAAAGGCGTAAAAGCGCTCCAAATGTCCACTTCCAGATACTACAAAAAGAGTGTTTCAAACCTGCTCTAAGAAAGGGAATGTTCAACTCTGTGACTTGAATTGACATATCACAAAGCAGTTTCTGAGAGTGCGTCTGTCTAGATTTTATATTAAAGTATTCCCGTTTCCAACGAAATCGTTAGAGCTATCCAAATATCCAATTGCAGATTCTACAGAAAGAGTGTTTCAATACTGCTGTATCAAAAGACAGGTTGTACTCTGTTAGTTGAGGACCTACATCACAAACCAGTTTGTGAGAATGCTTCTGTCTAGTTTTTATGGGAAGATATTTCCTTTTTCACCGTAAGCGTCAAAGCGCTCCAAGTGTCCACATCCAGATACTACAGAAAGAGTCTTTCAAACCTGCTCTATGAAAGGGAATGTTCAACTCTGTGACGTGAATGGAGATATCACAAAGCAGTTTCTGAGAATGTTTCTGTCTATGTTTTATATGAAGATACTCCCATTTCCAACGAAATCCACAAAGCTATCCAAATATCCACTTGCAGATTCTACAAAAAGCGTGTTTCCAAACTGCTCTGTCAAACGAAATGTTCAAGTCTGTGAGTTTGGGACACATATCACAAACAAGTTTCTGCGAATGCTTCTGTCTAGTTTTTATGGGAAGATATTTCCTTTTTCACCATAGGCCTGAAAGCGCTCGAAATGTCCTCTTCCAGATACTACATAAAGAGTGTTTCAAACCTGCTCTCTGTAAGGGAATGTTCAACTCTGTGACTTAAAAGCAAACATCACAAAGCAGCTTCGTAGAATGCTGCTGTCTATTTTTATATGTAATCCCGTCTCCAACGAAATCTTCGGCGGTATCCTAACATCGACTTGCAGATTCCACAAAAAGAGCTTTTCAAAACTGATCTCTAAATAGAAAGTTTCAACTCTGTTAGTTGAGTACATATATCCCAAAGAAGTTTCTTAGAATGCTTCTGTCTAGTTTTTATGGGAAGACATTTCCTTTTTCACCAATGGCGTCAAAGCGCTCCAAATGTCCACTTCCAGATACTACAAAAAGAGTGGTTCAAACCTGCTCTCAGAAAGGGAATGTTCAACACTGTGACTTGAATGCAGATATCACAAAGCAGTTTCTGAGAGTGCCTCTGTCTAGATTTTATATGAAGGTATTCCCGTTTCCTACGAAATCTTTAGAGCTATCCAAATATCCACTTGCAGATTGTACAAAAAGAGTGTTTCCAAACTGCTGTATCAAAAGCCAGGTAGTACTTTGTTAGTTGAGGACACACATCACAAAGAGGTTTCTGAGAATGCCTCTGTCTAGATTTTACCTGAAGATATTCGGGTTTCCAGTGAAATCCTTAAAGCTCTCGAAATATCCACTTGCAGATTCTCCAAAAAGAGTCTTTCAAAACTGCTCTGTAAATAGAAAAGTTCAACTCTGTTAGATGAGGACATACATCACAAACCAGTTTGTGAGAATGCTTCTGTCTAGTTTTTATGGGAAGATATTTCCTTTTTCACTGTAAGCGTCAAAGCGCTCCAAGTGTCCACATCCAGATACTACAGAAAGAGTGTATCAAACCTGCTCTATGAAGGGGAATATTCAACTCTGTAACGTGAATGCAGACATCACAAAGCAGTTTCTGAGAATGTTTCTGTCTAGGTTTTATATGGAGATTCTCCCGTTTCCAACGAAATCCACAAAGCTATCCAAATATCCACTTGCAGATTCTACAAAAAGCGTGTTTCCAAGCTGCTCTGTCAAACGAAATGTTCAACTCTGTGAGTTGAGGACACGCATCACAAACAAGTTTCTGCAAATGCTTGTGTCTGGTTTTTATGGGAAGATATTTCCTTGTTCACCATAGGCCTGAAAACACTCGAAATGTCCACTTCCAGATACTACAGAAAGAGTGTCTGAAACCTGCTCTACGAAAGGGAATGTTCAACTCTGTGACTTAAAAGCAAGCATCACAAAGAAGCTTCTGAGTATGCTACTGTCTAGTTTTTATGGGAAGATATTTCGTTTTTCAACATAGGCCTGAAATCGCTCGAAATGTCCACTTCCAGATACTATAGAAAGAGTGTTTCTAAACTGCTCTATGAAAGGGAATGTTCAACTCTGTGACTTAAAAGCAAACATCACAAAGAAGTTTCTGAGAATGCTGCTGTCTACATTTTGTTTGTAATCCCGTTTCCAACGAAATCCTGAAAGCTATCCAAATATCCTCCTGCAGATTCCACGAAAAGACGGTTTCAAACCTGCTCTAAGAAAGGGAATATTCAACTCTGTGACTTGAATGCAGATATCAGAAAGTAGTTTCTGAGAGTGCTTGTGTCTAGATTTTATATGAAGATATTCCCGTTTCCAACGAAATAGTTAGAGCTATCCAAATATCCACTTGCATATTCTACAAAAGGAGTGTTTCCAAACTGCTGTATCATAAGACAGTTTGAACTCTGTTAGTTGAGGACACACATCACAAAGAAATTTCTGAGAATGCTTCTGTCTAGTTTTTATGGGATGATATTTCCTTTTTCAACATAGGACTGAAATCGCCCGAAATGTCCACTTCCGGATACTACAGAAAGAGTGTTTCAATCCTGCTCTATGGAAGGGAATATTCAACTCTGTGACTTAAAAGCAACCATCACAAAGAAGCTTCTGAGAATGCTGCTGTCTATATTTTATATGAAATCCCGTTTCCAAGGAAATCCTCAGAGCTATCCGAATATCCACTTGCAGATTACAGAAAAAGAGCTTCTCAAAACTGACCCAGAAATAGAAAGGTTCAACTCTGTTAGTTGAGTACATATATCCCAAAGAAGTTTCTTAGAATGCTTCTGTCTAGTTTTTATGGGAAGACATTTCCTTTTTCACCAAAGGGGTCGAAGCGGTCTAAGTGTCCACTTACACATACTACAAAAAGAGTGTTTCAAACCTTCTCTAAGAAAGGGAATGTTCAACTCTGTGACTTGAAAGCAGATAGCTCAAAGCACTTTCGGAGAGTGCCTCTCTAGATTTTATATGAAGGTATTCCCATTTCCAACGAAATCGTTACAGCTATCGAAATATCCACTTGCAGATTCTACAAAAAGAGTGTTTCCAAACTGCTGTATCAAAAGATAGGTTGTACTCTGTTAGTTGAGGACACACATCATAAATAAGTTTCTGAGAATGCCTCTGGCTAGATTTTACCTGAAGATATTACGGTTTAAAATGAAATCCTTGAAGCTCTCCAAATATCCGCTTACAGATTCTCCAAAAAGAGTCTTTCAAAACTGCTCTGTAAATAGAAAGGTTCAACGCTGTTAGTTGAGGACATACATCACAAACCAGTTTGTGAGAATGCTTCTGTCTAGTTTTTATGGGAAGATATTTCCTTTTGCACCGTAAGCGTCAAAGCGCTCCAAGTGTCCACATCCAGATACTGCAGAAAGAGTGTTTCACACCTGCTCTATGAAAGCGAATGTTCAACTCTGTGATGTGAATGCAGATATCACAAAGTAGTTTCTGAGAATGCTTCTGTGGAGATTTTATATGAAGATATTCCCGTTTCCAACGAGATAGTTAGAGCTATCCATGTATCCAGTTGCAAATTCTATAAAAAGTGTGTTTTCAAGCTGCTGTATCATAAGAAAAGTTGAACTCTGTTAGTTGAGGACCCACATCACAAAGAAGTTTCTGAGAATGCTTCTGTCTAGTTTTTATGGGAAGATATTTCCTTTTTCCACATACGCCTGAAATCGCTCGAAATGTCCACTTCCAGATACTACAGAAAGAGTGTTTCAAACCTGCTCTGTGGAAGGGAATATTCAACTCTGTCACTTAAAAGCAAACATCACAAAGAAGCTCCTGAGAATGCTGCTGTCTACTTTTTATATGTAATCCCGTCTCCAACGACATCCTCAGAACTATCCTGATATCCGTTTGCAGATTCCACAAAAAGAGCTTTTCCAAACTGATCTATAAAGAGAAAGTTTCAACTCTGTAAGTTGAGTACATATATCCCAATGAAGTTTCTTAGAATGCTTCTGTCTAGTTTTTATGGGAAGACATTTCCTTTTTCACCAAAGGCGTCAAAGCCCTCCAAATGTCCACTTCCAGATACTACAAAAAGAGTGTTTCAAACCTGCTCTAAGAAAGAGAATGTTCAACTCCGTGACTTGAATGCAGATATCAAAAAGCAGTTTCTGAGAGTGCCTCTGTCTAGAATTTATATGAAGTTATTCCCGTATCCAACGAAATCGTTACAGCTATCCAAATATCCACTTGCGTATTCTGCAAAAAGCGTGTTTCCAAACTGCTCTGTCAAACGAAATGGTCACCTCTGTGAGATGAGGACACACATCACAAACAAGTTTCTGCGAATGCTTCTGTCTAGTTTTTATGGGACGATATTTCCTTGTTCACCATAGGCCTGAAAGCGCTCGAAATGTCCACTTCCAGATAGTAGACAAAGAGGGTTTCAAACCTGCTCTATGGAAGGGAATATTCAACTCTGTGACTTAAAAGCAAACATCACAAAGAAGCTTCTGAGAATGCTGCTGTCTACTTTTTATATGCAATCCCGTCTCCAACGAAATCCTCAGAACTATCCTTATATCCAATTGCAGATTCCACAAAAAGAGCTTTTCAAAACTGATCTATCAATAGAAAGGTTCAACTCTGGTAGTTGAGTACATATATCGCAAGGAAGATTCTTGGAATGCTTCTGTCTAGTTTTTATGGAAGATATTTCCTTTTTCACCAAAGGCATCAAAGCGCTCCAAATGTCCACTACCAGATACTACAAATAGATCGTCTCAAACCTGCTCTAAGAAAGGGAATGTTCAACTCTGTGACTTGAATGCAGATATCACAAAGCAGTTTCTGAGGGTGCCTCTGTCTAGATTTTATATGAAGGTATTCCCGTTTCCTATGAAATGGTTAGAGCTATGCAAATATCCACTTGCAGATTCTACAAAAAGAGTGTTTATAAACTGCTGTATCATAAGAAAGGATGAACTCTGTTAGTTGAGGACGCACATCACAAAGAAATTTTTGAGAATGCTTCCGTCTAGTTTTTATTGGAAGATATTTCCTTTTTCAACCTAGGCCTGAAATCGCTCGAAATGTCCACTTCCAGATACTACAGAAAGAGTGTTTCAAACCTTCTCTACGGAAGGGAATATTGAACTCTGCGATTTAAAAGCAAAGATCACAAAGAAGCTTTTGAGAATGCTGCTGTCTACTTTTTATACGTAATCCCGTCTCCAACGAAATCCTCAGAGCTATTCAAATATCCACTTGCGGATTCCACAAAAAGAGCTTTTTAAAACTGATCTCTAAATAGAAAGGTTCAACTCTGTTAGTTGAGTACATATATCCCAAAGAAGTTTCTTAGAATGCTTCTGTCTAGTTTTTATGGGAAGACATTTCCTTTTTCACCAAAGGCGTCAAAGCGCTCCAAGTGTCCACTTCCAGATACTACAAAAAGAGAGTTTCAAACCTGCTCTAAGAAAGGGAATGTTCAACTCTGTGACTTGAATGCAGATATCACAAAGCAGTTTCTGAGAGTGCCTCTGTCTAGATTTCATATGAAGGTATTCCCGTATCCATCGAAATCGCTAGAGCTATCCAAATATCCTCTTGCAGATTCTACAAAAAGAGTGTTTCCAAACTGATGTATCAAAAGACAGGTTGTACTCTGTTAGTTGAGGACGCACATCACGAAGAAGTTTCCGAGAATGCCTCTGTCTAGATTTTACCTGAAGATATTCCGGTTTCCAGTGAAATCCTTAAAGATCTCCAGATATCCACTTGCAGATTCTCCAAAAAGAGTCTTTGAAAACTGCTCTGTAAATAGAAAGGTTCAACTCTGTTAGTTGAGGACATACATCACAAACCAGTTTGTGAGAATGCTTCTGTCTAGTTTTCATGGGAAGTTATTCCTTTTTTCACCGTAAGCGTCAAAGCGCTCCAAGTGTCCACATCCAGATACTTCAGAAAGAGTGTTTCAAACCTGCTCTATGAAAGGGAATGTTCAACTCTGTGACGTGAATGCAGACATTACAAAGGAGTTTCGGAGAATGTTTCCGTCTAGGTTTTATATGAAGATACTCCCGTTCCCAAGGAAATCCACAAAGCTATCCAAATATCCACTTGCAGATTCTACAAAAAGCGTGTTTCCAAACTGCTCTGTCACAGGAAATGTTCAACTCTGTTGGTTGAGGACACACATCACAAACAAGTTTCTGCGAATGCTTCTGTCTAGTTTTTATGGGGAGATATTTCCTTTTTCACCATGGGCCTGAAAGCGCTCGAAATGTCCACTTCCAGATACTACAGAAAGAGTGTTTCAAACCTGCTGTATGAAAGGGAATGTTCAACTCTGTGACTTAGAAGCAAACATCACAAAGAAGCTTCTGAGAATGTTGCTGTCTACTTTGTATATGTAATCCCGTTTCCAACGAAATCCTCAAAGCTATCCAAATATCCTCCTGCAGCTTCCACGAAAAGACGGTTTCAAACCTGCTCTAAGAAAGGGAATATTCAACTCTGTGATTTGAATACTGATATCACAATGTAGTTTCTGAGAGTGCTTCTGTCTAGATTTTATATGAAGATATTCCCATTTCGAACGAAATAGTTAGAGCTGTTCAAATATCCACTTGCATATTCTACAAAAAGTGTTTTTTCAAACTGCTGTATTATAAGAGAGGTTGAACTCTGTTAGTTGAGGACACACATCACAAAGAAGTTTCTGAGAATGCTTCTGTCTTGTTTTTATGGGAAGATGTTTCCTTTTTCAACATAGGCCTGAAATCGCTCGAAATGTCCACTTCCAGATACTACAAAAAAAGTGTTTCAAACCGGCTCTATGGAAGGGAATATTGAACTCTGTGACTTAAAAGCAAACATCACAAAGAAGTTTCTGAGAATGCTGCTGTCTACTTTTTATATGTAATCCCGTTTCCAACGCAATCCTCAGAGCTATCCTAAGATTCACTTGCAGATTCCACGAAAAGAGCTTTTCAAGACTGATCTATAAATAGAAAGGTTCAACTCTGTTAGTTGAGTACGTATATCCCAAAGAATTCTCTTAGAATGCTTCCGTCTGGTTTTTATGGGAAGACATCTCTTTATCACCAAAGGTGTCAAAGCGCTCCAAAAGTCCACTTCCTGATAGTACAAAAAGAGTGTTTCCAAACTGCTGTATCATAACAAAGGCTGAACTCTGTTAGTTGAGGACACACATCACAAAGAAGTTTCTGAGAATGCCTCTGTCTAGAGTTTACCTGAAGATATTCCGGTTTACAATGAAATCCTTAAAGCTCTCAAATATCCACTTGTAGATTCTCCAAAAAGAGTCTTTCAAAACTACTCTGTAAATAGAAAGGTTCAACTCTGTTAGTTGAGGAAATACATCACAAACTAGTTTTTGAGAATGCTTCTGTCTAGTTTTCATTGGAAGATATTTCCTTTTGCACCGTAAGCCTCAAAGCGCTCCAAGTGTCCACATCCAGATACTACAGAAAGAGTGTTTCAAACCTGCTCTATGAAAGGAAATATTCAACTCTGTGACGTGAATACAGACATCACAAAGCAGTTTCTGAGAATGTTTCTGTCTAGGTTTTATATGAAGATACTCCCGTTTCCAAGGAAATCCACAAAGCTATCCAAATATCCACTTGCAGATTCTACAAAAAGCGTGTTTCCAAACTGCTCTGTCAAACGAAATGTTCAACTCTGTGAGTTGAGGACACACATCACAAACAAGTTTCTGCGAAGGCTTCTGTTTAGTTTTTATGGGAAGATATTTCCTTGTTCACCATAGGCCTGAAAGCGCTCGAAATGGCCACTTCCAGATATTACAGAAAGAGTGTTTGAAACCTGCTCTATGAAAGGGAATGTTCAACTCTGTGACTTAAAAGCAAACATCACAAAGAAGCTTCTGAGAATGCTGCTGTCCACTTTGTATATGTAATCCCGTTTCCTACGAAATCCTCAAAGCTATCCAAATATCCTCCTGCAGATTCCACGAAAAGACGGTTTCAAACCTGCTCTAAGAAAGGGAATATTCAACTCTGTGACTTGAATGCAGATATCACAAAGTAGTTTCTGAGAGTGCTTCTGTCTAGATTTTATATGAAGATATTCCCGTTACCAACAAAATAGTTAGAGCTCTCCAAATATCCAGTTGCATATTCTACAAAAAGAGTGTTTCCAAACTGCTGTATCATAAGAGAGGTTGAACTCTGTTAGTTGAGGACACACATCACAAAGAAGTTTCTGAGAATGCTTCTGTCTAGTTTTTATGGGACGATATTTCCTTGTTCACCATAGGCCTGAAAGCGCTCGAAATGTCCACTTCCAGATAGTAGAGAAAGAGGGTTTCAAACCTGCTCTATGGAAGGGAATATTCAACTTCTGTGACTTAAAAGCAAACATCACAAAGAAGCTTCTGAGAATGCTGCTGTCTACTTTTTATACGTAATCCCGTCTCCAACGATATCCTCAGTGCTATCCTAATATCCACATGCGGATTCCACAAAAAGAGCTTTTCAAAACTGATCTATAAATAGAAAGGTTCAACTGTGTTAGTTGAGTACATATATCCCAAAGAAGTTCCTTAGAATGCTTCTGTCTAGTTTTTATGGGAAGACCTTTCCTTTTTCACCAGAGGCGTCAAAGCGCTCCAAATGTCCACTTCCAGATACTACAAAAAGGGTGTTTCAAACCTGCTCTAAGAAAGGGAATGTTCAACTCTGTGACTTGAATGCAGATATCACAAAGCAGTTTCTGAGAGTGCCTCTGCTAAATTTTATATGAAGGTATTCCGGTTTCCAACGAAACCGTTAGAGCTATCGAAATATCCTCTTGGAGTTTCTACAAAAAGAGTGTTTCGAAACTGCTGTATCAGAAGACAAGTTGTACTCTGTTAGTTGAGGACACACATCACAAAGAAGTTTCTGAGAATGCCTCTGTCTAGATTTTTCCTCAAGATATTCCGGTTTCCAGTGAAATCCTTAAAGCTCTCCAAATATCCACTTGCAGAGTCTCCAAAAAGTGTCTTTCAAAACTGCTCTGTAAATAGAAAGGTTCAAGTCTGTTAGTTGAGGACATACATCACAAACCAGTTTGTGAGAATGCTTCTGTCTAGTTTTCATGGGAACATATTTCCTTTTTCACCGTAAGCGTCAAAGCCCTCCAAGTGTCCACATCCAGATACTACAGAAAGGGAGTTTCAAACCTGCTCTATGAAAGGGAATGTTCAACTCCGTGACGTGAATGCAGACATCACAAAGCAGTTTCTGAGAATGTTTCTGTCTAGGTTTAATAGGAAGATACTCCCGTTTCAAGCAAAATCCGCAAAGCTATCCAAATATCCACTTGCAGATTCTACAAAAAGCGTGTTTCCAAACTGCTCTGTCAAACGAAATGTTCGACTCTGTGAGTTGAGGACACACATCACAAAGAAGTTTCTGCGAATGCTTCTATCTAGTTTTTATGGGAAGATATTTCCTTGTTCACCATAGGCCTGAAAGCGCTCGAAATGTCCACTTCCAGATACTACAGGAAGAGTGTTTCAAACCTGCTCTATGAAAGAGAATGTTCAACTCTGTGACTTACAAGCAAACATCACAAAGAAGCTTCTGAGAATGCTGCTGTCTACTTTGTATATGTAATCCCGTTTCCAACTAAACCCTCAAGGCTATCGAAATATTCTCCTGCAGATTCCACGAGAAGACGGTTTAAAACCTGGTCTAAGAAAGGGAATTTTCAACTCTGTGACTTGAATGCAGATATCACAAAGTAGTTTCTGAGAGTGCTTCTGTCTAGATTTTATATGAAGATATTCCCGTCTCCAACGAAATACTTAGAGCTATCCAAATATCCAATTGCATATTCTACAAAAAGAGTGTTTCCAAACTGCTGTATCATAAGAAAGGTTGAACTCTGTTAGTTGAGGCCACACATCACAAAGACGTTTCTGAGAATGCT
>NC_000018.10:20603247-20625037 GCF_000001405.40 Homo sapiens | reverse complement strand
GCAGCATTCTCAGGAGCTTCTTTGTGATGTTTCCTTTTAAGTCACAGAGTTGAATATTCCCTTCCATAGGCAGGTTTGAAACTCTCTTTCTGTAGTATTTGGAAGAGGACATTTCGAGCGATTTCAGGCCTATGTGGAAAAAGGAAATATCTTCCCATAAAAACTAGACTGTCCTCAATAAAATGCTGGCAAACCGAATCCAGCAGCACATCAAAAAACTTATCCACCATGATCAAGTGGGCTTCATCCCTGGGATGCAAGGCTGGTTCAATATACGCAAATCAATAAATGTAATCCAGTATATAAACAGAGCCAAAGACAAAAACCACATGATTATCTCAATAGATGCAGAAAAAGCCTTGACAAGCTGTCTACTTTTTATATGTCATCCCGTCTCCAACGAAATCCTCAGAGCTATTTTAATATCCACTTGCAGATTCCACAAAAAGAGCTTTTCAAAACTGATCTATAAAGAGAAAGGTTCAACTCTGTTAGTTGAGTACATATATCCCAAAGAAGTTTCTTAGAATGCTTCTGTCTAGTTTTTATGGGAAGACATTTCCTTTTTCACCAAAGGCGTCAAAGCCCTCCAAATGTCCACTTCCAGATACTACAAAAAGAGTGTTTCAAACCTGCTCTAAGAAAGAGAATGTTCAACTCCGTGACTTGAATGCAGATATCAAAAAGCAGTTTCTGAGAGTGCCTCTGTCTAGAATTTATATGAAGTTATTCCCGTATCCAACGAAATCGTTACAGCTATCCAAATATCCACTTGCGTATTCTGCAAAAAGCGTGTTTCCAAACTGCTCTGTCAAACGAAATGGTCACCTCTGTGAGATGAGGACACACATCACAAACAAGTTTCTGCGAATGCTTCTGTCTAGTTTTTATGGGACGATATTTCCTTGTTCACCATAGGCCTGAAAGCGCTCGAAATGTCCACTTCCAGATAGTAGACAAAGAGGGTTTCAAACCTGCTCTATGGAAGGGAATATTCAACTCTGTGACTTAAAAGCAAACATCACAAAGAAGCTTCTGAGAATGCTGCTGTCTACTTTTTATATGCAATCCCGTCTCCAACGAAATCCTCAGAACTATCCTTATATCCAATTGCAGATTCCACAAAAAGAGCTTTTCAAAACTGATCTATCAATAGAAAGGTTCAACTCTGGTAGTTGAGTACATATATCGCAAGGAAGATTCTTGGAATGCTTCTGTCTAGTTTTTATGGAAGATATTTCCTTTTTCACCAAAGGCATCAAAGCGCTCCAAATGTCCACTACCAGATACTACAAATAGATCGTCTCAAACCTGCTCTAAGAAAGGGAATGTTCAACTCTGTGACTTGAATGCAGATATCACAAAGCAGTTTCTGAGGGTGCCTCTGTCTAGATTTTATATGAAGGTATTCCCGTTTCCTATGAAATGGTTAGAGCTATGCAAATATCCACTTGCAGATTCTACAAAAAGAGTGTTTATAAACTGCTGTATCATAAGAAAGGATGAACTCTGTTAGTTGAGGACGCACATCACAAAGAAATTTTTGAGAATGCTTCCGTCTAGTTTTTATTGGAAGATATTTCCTTTTTCAACATAGGCCTGAAATCGCTCGAAATGTCCACTTCCAGATACTACAGAAAGAGTGTTTCAAACCTTCTCTACGGAAGGGAATATTGAACTCTGCGATTTAAAAGCAAAGATCACAAAGAAGCTTTTGAGAATGCTGCTGTCTACTTTTTATACGTAATCCCGTCTCCAACGAAATCCTCAGAGCTATTCTAATATCCACTTGCGGATTCCACAAAAAGAGCTTTTTAAAACTGATCTCTAAATAGAAAGGTTCAACTCTGTTAGTTGAGTACATATATCCCAAAGAAGTTTCTTAGAATGCTTCTGTCTAGTTTTTATGGGAAGACATTTCCTTTTTCACCAAAGGCGTCAAAGCGCTCCAAGTGTCCACTTCCAGATACTACAAAAAGAGAGTTTCAAACCTGCTCTAAGAAAGGGAATGTTCAACTCTGTGACTTGAATGCAGATATCACAAAGCAGTTTCTGAGAGTGCCTCTGTCTAGATTTCATATGAAGGTATTCCCGTATCCATCGAAATCGCTAGAGCTATCCAAATATCCTCTTGCAGATTCTACAAAAAGATTGTTTCCAAACTGCTGTATCAAAAGACAGGTTGTACTCTGTTAGTTGAGGACACACATCACGAAGAAGTTTCTGAGAATGCCTCTGTCTAGATTTTACCTGAAGATATTCCGGTTTCCAATGAAATCCTAAAAGATCTCCAGATATCCACTTGCAGATTCTCCAAAAAGAGTCTTTGAAAATTGCTCTGTAAATAGAAAGGTTCAACTCTGTTAGTTGAGGACATACATCACAAACCAGTTTGTGAGAATGCTTCTGTCTAGTTTTCATGGGAAGTTATTTCCTTTTTCAGTGTAAGCGTCAAAGCGCTCCAAGTGTCGACATCCAGATACTTCAGAAAGAGTGTTTCAAACCTGCTCTATGAAAGGGAATGTTCAACTCTGTGACGTGAATGCAGACATTACAAAGGAGTTTCGGAGAATGTTTCCGTCTAGGTTTTATATGAAGATACTCCCGTTCCCAAGGAAATCCACAAAGCTATCCAAATATCCACTTGCAGATTCTACAAAAAGCGTGTTTCCAAACTGCTCTGTCACAGGAAATGTTCAACTCTGTTGGTTGAGGACACACATCACAAACAAGTTTCTGCGAATGCTTCTGTCTAGTTTTTATGGGGAGATATTTCCTTTTTCACCATGGGCCTGAAAGCGCTCGAAATGTCCACTTCCAGATACTACAGAAAGAGTGTTTCAAACCTGCTGTATGAAAGGGAATGTTCAACTCTGTGACTTAGAAGCAAACATCACAAAGAAGCTTCTGAGAATGTTGCTGTCTACTTTGTATATGTAATCCCGTTTCCAACGAAATCCTCAAAGCTATCCAAATATCCTCCTGCAGCTTCCACGAAA
Organism: Homo sapiens; assembly: GCF_000001405.40. Classification (NCBI taxonomy): domain Eukaryota; kingdom Metazoa; phylum Chordata; class Mammalia; order Primates; family Hominidae; genus Homo; species Homo sapiens. The sequence continues at coordinate 20,622,038 of NC_000018.10, read as the reverse complement.
AGACGGTTTCAAACCTGCTCTAAGAAAGGGAATATTCAACTCTGTGATTTGAATACTGATATCACAATGTAGTTTCTGAGAGTGCTTCTGTCTAGATTTTATATGAAGATATTCCCATTTCGAACGAAATAGTTAGAGCTGTTCAAATATCCACTTGCATATTCTACAAAAAGTGTTTTTTCAAACTGCTGTATTATAAGAGAGGTTGAACTCTGTTAGTTGAGGACACACATCACAAAGAAGTTTCTGAGAATGCTTCTGTCTTTTTTTATGGGAAGATGTTTCCTTTTTCAACATAGGCCTGAAATCGCTCGAAATGTCCACTTCCAGATACTACAAAAAAAGTGTTTCAAACCGGCTCTATGGAAGGGAATATTGAACTCTGTGACTTAAAAGCAAACATCACAAAGAAGTTTCTGAGAATGCTGCTGTCTACTTTTTATATGTAATCCGATTTCCAACGAAATCCTCAGAGCTATCCTAAGATTCACTTGCAGATTCCACGAAAAGAGCTTTTCAAGACTGATCTATAAATAGAAAGGTTCAACTCTGTTAGTTGAGTACTTATATCCCAAAGAATTCTCTTAGAATGCTTCCGTCTGGTTTTTATGGGAAGACATCTCTTTATCACCAAAGGTGTCAAAGCGCTCCAAAAGTCCACTTCCTGATAGTACAAAAAGAGTGTTTCCAAACTGCTGTATCATAACAAAGGCTGAACTCTGTTAGTTGAGGACACACATCACAAAGAAGTTTCTGAGAATGCCTCTGTCTAGAGTTTACCTGAAGATATTCCGGTTTACAATGAAATCCTTAAAGCTCTCAAATATCCACTTGTAGATTCTCCAAAAAGAGTCTTTCAAAACTACTCTGTAAATAGAAAGGTTCAACTCTGTTAGTTGAGGAAATACATCACAAACTAGTTTTTGAGAATGCTTCTGTCTAGTTTTCATTGGAAGATATTTCCTTTTGCACCGTAAGCCTCAAAGCGCTCCAAGTGTCCACATCCAGATACTACAGAAAGAGTGTTTCAAACCTGCTCTATGAAAGGAAATATTCAACTCTGTGACGTGAATACAGACATCACAAAGCAGTTTCTGAGAATGTTTCTGTCTATGTTTTATATGGAGATACTCCCATTTCCAAAGAAATCCACAAAGCTATCCAAATATCTACTTGCAGATTCTACAAAAAGCATGTTTCCAAACTGCTGTGTCAAACGAAATGTTCAACCCTGTGAGTTGAGGACACACATCACAAACAAGTTTCTGCGAATGCTTCTGTCTAGTTTTTATGGGAAGATATTTCCTTTTTCACCATAGGCCTGAAAGTGCTCGAAATGTCCACTTCCAGATACTACAGAAAGAGTGTTTGAAACCTCCTCTATGAAAGGGAATTTTCAACTTTGTGACTTAAAAGCAAACATCACAAAGAAGCTTCTGAGAATGCTGCTGTCTACTTTGTATATGAAATCGTGTTTCCACCGAAATCCTCAAACCTATCCAAATATCCTCCTGCAGATTCCACGAAAAGACGGTTTCAAACCTGGTCTAAGAAAGGGAATATTGAACTCTGTGAGTTGAATGCAGATATCACAAAGTAGTTTCTGAGAGTGCTTCTGTCTAGATTTTATATGAAGTTATGCCCGTTTCCAACAAAATAGAGCTATCCAAATATCTACTTGCAAATTCTACATAAAGAGTGTTTCCAAACTGCTGTATCATAAGAAAGTTGAACTCTGTTAGTTGAGGACACACATCACAAAGAAGTTTCTGAGAATGCCTCTGTCTAGTTTTTATGGGAAGATATTTCCTTTTTCAACATAGGCCTGAAATCGCTCGAAATGTCCACTTCCAGATACTACAGAAAGAGTGTTTCAAACCTGCTCTATGGAAGGGAATATTCAACTCTGTGATTTAAAAGCAAACATCACAAAGAAGCTTCTGAGAATGCTGCTGTCTATTTTTATATGTAATCCCGTCTCCAACGAAATCTTCGGCGGTATCCTAACATCGACTTGCAGATTCCACAAAAAGAGCTTTTCAAAACTGATCTCTAAATAGAAAGTTTCAACTCTGTTAGTTGAGTACATATATCCCAAAGAAGTTTCTTAGAATGCTTCTGTCTAGTTTTTATGGGAAGACATTTCCTTTTTCACCAATGGCGTCAAAGCGCTCCAAATGTCCACTTCCAGATACTACAAAAAGAGTGGTTCAAACCTGCTCTCAGAAAGGGAATGTTCAACACTGTGACTTGAATGCAGATATCACAAAGCAGTTTCTGAGAGTGCCTCTGTCTAGATTTTATATGAAGGTATTCCCGTTTCCTACGAAATCTTTAGAGCTATCCAAATATCCACTTGCAGATTGTACAAAAAGAGTGTTTCCAAACTGCTGTATCAAAAGCCAGGTAGTACTTTGTTAGTTGAGGACACACATCACAAAGAGGTTTCTGAGAATGCCTCTGTCTAGATTTTACCTGAAGATATTCGGGTTTCCAGTGAAATCCTTAAAGCTCTCGAAATATCCACTTGCAGATTCTCCAAAAAGAGTCTTTCAAAACTGCTCTGTAAATAGAAAAGTTCAACTCTGTTAGATGAGGACATACATCACAAACCAGTTTGTGAGAATGCTTCTGTCTAGTTTTTATGGGAAGATATTTCCTTTTTCACTGTAAGCGTCAAAGCGCTCCAAGTGTCCACATCCAGATACTACAGAAAGAGTGTATCAAACCTGCTCTATGAAGGGGAATATTCAACTCTGTAACGTGAATGCAGACATCACAAAGCAGTTTCTGAGAATGTTTCCGTCTAGGTTTTATATGAAGATACTCCCGTTTCCAAAGAAATCCACAAAGCTATCCAAATATCCAATTGCAGATTCTACAAAAAGCGTGTTTCCAAGCTGCTCTGTCAAACGAAATGTTCTATTCTGTGAGTTGAGGACACGCATCACAAACAAGTTTCTGCAAATGCTTGTGTCTGGTTTTTATGGGAAGATATTTCCTTGTTCACCATAGGCCTGAAAACACTCGAAATGTCCACTTCCAGATACTACAGAAAGAGTGTCTGAAACCTGCTCTACGAAAGGGAATGTTCAACTCTGTGACTTAAAAGCAAGCATCACAAAGAAGCTTCTGAGTATGCTACTGTCTAGTTTTTATGGGAAGATATTTCGTTTTTCAACATAGGCCTGAAATCGCTCGAAATGTCCACTTCCAGATACTATAGAAAGAGTGTTTCTAAACTGCTCTATGGAAGGGAATGTTCAACTCTGTGACTTAAAAGCAAACATCACAAAGAAGTTTCTGAGAATGCTGCTGTCTACATTTTGTTTGTAATCCCGTTTCCAACGAAATCCTGAAAGCTATCCAAATATCCACTTGCAGATTCCACAAAAAGAGCATTAAAAAGCTGATCTATAAAGAGCAAGGTTCAACTCGGTTAGTTGAGTACATATATCACAAAGATGTTTCTTAGAATGCTTCTTTCTAGTTTTTATGTGAAGACATTTCCTTTATCACCAAAGGCGTCAAAGCGCTCCAAATGTCCACTTCCAGATCCTGCAAAAAGAGTGTTTCAAACCTGCTCTAAGAAAGGGAATGTTGAACTGTGTGACTTGAATGCAGATATCACAAAGCAGTTTCTGAGAGTGCCTCTGTCTAGATTTTATATGAAGGTATTCCCGTTTCCAAAGAAATCATTAGAGCTATGCAAATATCCACTGGCAGATTCTACAAAAAGAGTGTTTCCAAACTGCTGTATCAAAAGACAGGATGTACCGCCGTTAGTTGAGGACACACATCACAAAGAAGTTTCTGAGAATGCCTCTGTCTAGATTTTATATGAAGATATTCCCGTTTCCAATGAATTCCTTAAAGCTCTCCAAATATCCACTTGAAGATTCTCCAAAAACAGTCTTTCAAAACTGCTCTGCAAATAAAATGTTTCAACTCTGTTAGTTGAGGACAAACATCACAATCCAGTTTGTGAGAATGCTTCTGTCTAGTTTTTATGGGAAGATATTTCTTTTGCACCTTAAGCGTCAAAGCGCTCCAAGTGTCCACATCCAGATAGTACAGAAAGAGTGTTTCAAACCTGCTCTATGAAAGGGAATGATCAACTCTGTGACGTGAATGCAGACATCATATAGCAGTTTCTGAGAATGTTTCTGTCTAGGTTTTATATGAAGATACTCCCGTTTCCAAGGAAATCCACAAAGCTATCCAAATATCCACTTGCAGATTCTACAAAAAGCGTGTTTCCAAACTGCTCTGTCAAATGAAATGTTCAACTCTGATAGTTGAGGATACATATCACAAACAAGTTTCTGCGAATGCTTCTGTCTAGTTTTTATCGGAAGATATTTCCTTTTTCACCATAGGCCTGAAAGCACTCGAAATGTCCACTTCCAGATACTACAGAAAGAGTGTTTCAAAACTGCTCTATGAAAGGGAATGTTGAACACTGTGACTTAAAAGCAAACATCACAAAGAAGCTTCTGAGAATGCTGCTTTCTATTTTTATATTTAATCCCTTTTCCAACGAAATCCTCAAAGCTATCCAAATATCCTCCTGCAGATTCCACGAAAAGACGGTTTCAAACCTGCTCTAAGAAAGGGAATATTCAACTCTGTGACTTGAATGCAGATATCAGAAAGTAGTTTCTGAGAGTGCTTGTGTCTAGATTTTATATGAAGATATTCCCGTTTCCAACGAAATAGTTAGAGCTATCCAAATATCCACTTGCATATTCTACAAAAGGAGTGTTTCCAAACTGCTGTATCATAAGACAGTTTGAACTCTGTTAGTTGAGGACACACATCACAAAGAAATTTCTGAGAATGCTTCTGTCTAGTTTTTATGGGATGATATTTCCTTTTTCAACATAGGACTGAAATCGCCCGAAATGTCCACTTCCGGATACTACAGAAAGAGTGTTTCAATCCTGCTCTATGGAAGGGAATATTCAACTCTGTGACTTAAAAGCAACCATCACAAAGAAGCTTCTGAGAATGCTGCTGTCTATATTTTATATGAAATCCCGTTTCCAAGGAAATCCTCAGAGCTATCCGAATATCCACTTGCAGATTACAGAAAAAGAGCTTCTCAAAACTGACCCAGAAATAGAAAGGTTCAACTCTGTTAGTTGAGTACATATATCCCAAAGAAGTTTCTTAGAATGCTTCTGTCTAGTTTTTATGGGAAGACATTTCCTTTTTCACCAAAGGGGTCGAAGCGGTCTAAGTGTCCACTTACACATACTACAAAAAGAGTGTTTCAAACCTTCTCTAAGAAAGGGAATGTTCAACTCTGTGACTTGAAAGCAGATAGCTCAAAGCACTTTCGGAGAGTGCCTCTCTAGATTTTATATGAAGGTATTCCCATTTCCAACGAAATCGTTACAGCTATCGAAATATCCACTTGCAGATTCTACAAAAAGAGTGTTTCCAAACTGCTGTATCAAAAGATAGGTTGTACTCTGTTAGTTGAGGACACACATCATAAATAAGTTTCTGAGAATGCCTCTGGCTAGATTTTACCTGAAGATATTACGGTTTAAAATGAAATCCTTGAAGCTCTCCAAATATCCGCTTACAGATTCTCCAAAAAGAGTCTTTCAAAACTGCTCTGTAAATAGAAAGGTTCAACGCTGTTAGTTGAGGACATACATCACAAACCAGTTTGTGAGAATGCTTCTGTCTAGTTTTTATGGGAAGATATTTCCTTTTTTACCGTAAGCGTCAATGTGCTCCAAGTGTCCACATCCAGATACTACAGAAAGAGTGTTTCAAACCTGCTCTATGAAAGGGAATGTTCAACTCTGTGACGTGAATGCAGACATCACAAAGCGGTTTCTGAGAATGTTTCTGTCTAATTTTTATATGAGGATACTTCCGTTTCCAACGAAATCCACAAAGCTATCCAAATATCCACATGCAAATTCTACAAAAAGCGTGTTTCCAAACTGCTCTGTGAAACGAAGTGTTCCACTCTGTGAGTTGAGGGCACACATCACAAACAATTTTCTGCTAATGCTTCTGTCTAGTTTTTATGGGACGATATTTCCTTGTTCACCATAGGCCTGAAAGCGCTCGAAATGTCCACTTCCAGATAGTAGAGAAAGAGGGTTTCAAACCTGCTCTATGGAAGGGAATATTCAACTCTGTGACTTAAAAGCAAACATCACAAAGAAGCTTCTGGGAATGCTGCTGTCTACTTTTTATATGCAATCCCGTCTCCAACGAAATCCTCAGAACTATCCTTATATCCAATTGCAGATTCCACAAAAAGAGCTTTTCAAAACTGATCTATCAATAGAAAGGTTCAACTCTGGTAGTTGAGTACATATATCGCAAGGAAGATTCTTGGAATGCTTCTGTCTAGTTTTTATGGAAGATATTTCCTTTTTCACCAAAGGCGTCAAAGCGCTCCAAATGTCCACTACCAGATACTACAAATAGATTGTCTCAAACCTGCTCTAAGAAAGGGAATGTTCAACTCTGTGACTTGAATGCAGATATCACAAAGCAGTTTCTGAGGGTGCCTCTGTCTAGATTTTATATGAAGGTATTCCCGTTTCCTATGAAATGGTTAGAGCTATGCAAATATCCACTTGCAGATTCTACAAAAAGAGTGTTTATAAACTGCTGTATCATAAGAAAGGATGAACTCTGTTAGTTGAGGACGCACATCACAAAGAAATTTTTGAGAATGCTTCCGTCTAGTTTTTATTGGAAGATATTTCCTTTTTCAACCTAGGCCTGAAATCGCTCGAAATGTCCACTTCCAGATACTACAGAAAGAGTGTTTCAAACCTTCTCTACGGAAGGGAATATTGAACTCTGCGATTTAAAAGCAAAGATCACAAAGAAGCTTTTGAGAATGCTGCTGTCTACTTTTTATACGTAATCCCGTCTCCAACGAAATCCTCAGAGCTATTCAAATATCCACTTGCGGATTCCACAAAAAGAGCTTTTTAAAACTGATCTCTAAATAGAAAGGTTCAACTCTGTTAGTTGAGTACATATATCCCAAAGAAGTTTCTTAGAATGCTTTCTGTCTAGTTTTTATGGGAAGACATTTCCTTTTTCACCAAAGGCGTCAAAGCGCTCCAAGTGTCCACTTCCAGATACTACAAAAAGAGAGTTTCAAACCTGCTCTAAGAAAGGGAATGTTCAACTCTGTGACTTGAATGCAGATATCACAAAGCAGTTTCTGAGAGTGCCTCTGTCTAGATTTTATATTAAAGTATTCCCGTTTCCAACGAAATCGTTAGAGCTATCCAAATATCCACTTGCAGATTCTACAGAAAGAGTCTTTCAATACTGCTGTATCAAAAGACAGGTTGTACTCTGTTAGCTGAGGACATACATCCCAAACCAGTTTGTGAGAATGCTTCTGTCTAGATTTTACCTGAAGATATTCCGGTTTCCAGTGAAATCCTTAAAGATCTCCAGATATCCACTTGCAGATTCTCCAAAAAGAGTCTTTGAAAACTGCTCTGTAAATAGAAAGGTTCAACTCTGTTAGTTGAGGACATACATCACAAACCAGTTTGTGAGAATGCTTCTGTCTAGTTTTCATGGGAAGTTATTCCTTTTTTCACCGTAAGCGTCAAAGCGCTCCAAGTGTCCACATCCAGATACTTCAGAAAGAGTGTTTCAAACCTGCTCTATGAAAGGGAATGTTCAACTCTGTGACGTGAATGCAGACATTACAAAGGAGTTTCGGAGAATGTTTCCGTCTAGGTTTTATATGAAGATACTCCCGTTCCCAAGGAAATCCACAAAGCTATCCAAATATCCACTTGCAGATTCTACAAAAAGCGTGTTTCCAAACTGCTCTGTCACAGGAAATGTTCAACTCTGTTGGTTGAGGACACACATCACAAACAAGTTTCTGCGAATGCTTCTGTCTAGTTTTTATGGGGAGATATTTCCTTTTTCACCATGGGCCTGAAAGCGCTCGAAATGTCCACTTCCAGATACTACAGAAAGAGTGTTTCAAACCTGCTGTATGAAAGGGAATGTTCAACTCTGTGACTTAGAAGCAAACATCACAAAGAAGCTTCTGAGAATGTTGCTGTCTACTTTGTATATGTAATCCCGTTTCCAACGAAATCCTCAAAACTATCCAAATATCCTCCTGCAGCTTCCACGAAAAGACGGTTTCAAACCTGCTCTAAGAAAGGGAATATTCAACTCTGTGATTTGAATACTGATATCACAATGTAGTTTCTGAGAGTGCTTCTGTCTAGATTTTATATGAAGATATTCCCATTTCGAACGAAATAGTTAGAGCTGTTCAAATATCCACTTGCATATTCTACAAAAAGTGTTTTTTCAAACTGCTGTATTATAAGAGAGGTTGAACTCTGTTAGTTGAGGACACACATCACAAAGAAGTTTCTGAGAATGCTTCTGTCTTTTTTTATGGGAAGATGTTTCCTTTTTCAACATAGGCCTGAAATCGCTCGAAATGTCCACTTCCAGATACTACAAAAAAAGTGTTTCAAACCGGCTCTATGGAAGGGAATATTGAACTCTGTGACTTAAAAGCAAACATCACAAAGAAGTTTCTGAGAATGCTGCTGTCTACTTTTTATATGTAATCCGATTTCCAACGAAATCCTCAGAGCTATCCTAAGATTCACTTGCAGATTCCACGAAAAGAGCTTTTCAAGACTGATCTATAAATAGAAAGGTTCAACTCTGTTAGTTGAGTACTTATATCCCAAAGAATTCTCTTAGAATGCTTCCGTCTGGTTTTTATGGGAAGACATCTCTTTATCACCAAAGGTGTCAAAGCGCTCCAAAAGTCCACTTCCTGATAGTACAAAAAGAGTGTTTCCAAACTGCTGTATCATAACAAAGGCTGAACTCTGTTAGTTGAGGACACACATCACAAAGAAGTTTCTGAGAATGCCTCTGTCTAGAGTTTACCTGAAGATATTCCGGTTTACAATGAAATCCTTAAAGCTCTCAAATATCCACTTGTAGATTCTCCAAAAAGAGTCTTTCAAAACTACTCTGTAAATAGAAAGGTTCAACTCTGTTAGTTGAGGAAATACATCACAAACTAGTTTTTGAGAATGCTTCTCTCTAGTTTTTATGGGAAGATATTTCCTTTTTCACCGTAAGCGTCAAAGCGCTCAAAGTGTCCACATCCAGACACTACAGAAAGAGTGTTTCAAACCTGCTCTATCAAAGGGAATGTTCAACTCTGTGACGTGAATGCAGATATCACAAAGCAGTTTCTTAGAATATTTCTGCTTAGGTTTTGTATGAAGATACTCCCGTTTCCATCGAAATCCACAAAGCTATCCAAATATCCACTTTCAGATTCTACAAAAAGAGTGTTTCCAAACTGATCTCTCGAACGAAATGTTCAACTCTGTGAGTTGAGGACACACATTACAAACAAGTTTCTGCGAATGCTTCTGTATTGCTTTTATGGGAAGATATTTCCTTTTTCACCATAGGCCTGAAAGTGCTCGAAGTGTCCACTTCCAGATACTACAGAAAGAGTGTTTGAAACCTCCTCTATGAAAGGGAATTTTCAACTTTGTGACTTAAAAGCAAACATCACAAAGAAGCTTCTGAGAATGCTGCTGTCTACTTTGTACATGTAATCCCGTTTCCAGCGAAATCCTCAAAGCTATCCAAATATCCCCCTGCAGATTCCACGAAAAGACGGTTTCAAACCTGCTCTAAGAAAGGGAATATTCAACTCTGTGACTTGAATGCAGGTATCACAATGTAGTTTCTGAGAGTGCTTCTGTCTAGATTTTATATGAAGATATTCCCGTTACCAACAAAATAGTTAGAGCTCTCCAAATATCCAGTTGCATATTCTACAAAAAGAGTGTTTCCAAACTGCTGTATCATAAGAGAGGTTGAACTCTGTTAGTTGAGGACACACATCACAAAGAAGTTTCTGAGAATGCTTCTGTCTAGTTTTTATGGGAAGATATTTCCTTTTTCCTCAAAGGGCTGAAATCGCTCGAAGTGTCCACTTCCAGATACTACAGAAAGAGTGTTTCAAACCTGCTCTATGGAAAGGAATATTCAACTCTGTAACTTAAAAGCAAACATCACAAAGAAGCTCCTGAGAATGCTGCTGTCTACTTTTTATATGTAATCCCGTCTCCAATGAAATCCTCAGAGCTATCCTAATATCCATTTGCAGATTCCACAAAAAGAGCTTTTCCAAACTGATCTATAAAGAGAAAGGTTCAACTGTGTTAGTTGAGTACATCTATCCCAAAGAAGTTTCTTAGAATGCTACATTCTAGTTTTGATGGGAAGACATTTCCTTTTTCACCAAAGGCGTCAAAGCCCTCCAAATGTCCACTTCCAGATACTACAAAAAGAGTGTTTCAAACCTGCTTTATGAAAGGAAATGTTCAACTCTGTGACTTGAATGCAGATTCCACAAAGCAGTTTCTGAGAGAGCCTCTGTCTAGATTTTATATGAAGGTATTCCCGTTTCCTACGAAATCTTTAGAGCTATCCAAATATCCACTTGCAGATTGTACAAAAAGAGTGTTTCCAAACTGCTGTATCAAAAGCCAGGTAGTACTTTGTTAGTTGAGGACACACATCACAAAGAGGTTTCTGAGAATGCCTCTGTCTAGATTTTACCTGAAGATATTCGGGTTTCCAGTGAAATCCTTAAAGCTCTCGAAATATCCACTTGCAGATTCTCCAAAAAGAGTCTTTCAAAACTGCTCTGTAAATAGAAAAGTTCAACTCTGTTAGATGAGGACATACATCACAAACCAGTTTGTGAGAATGCTTCTGTCTAGTTTTTATGGGAAGATATTTCCTTTTTCACTGTAAGCGTCAAAGCGCTCCAAGTGTCCACATCCAGATACTACAGAAAGAGTGTATCAAACCTGCTCTATGAAGGGGAATATTCAACTCTGTAACGTGAATGCAGACATCACAAAGCAGTTTCTGAGAATGTTTCTGTCTAGGTTTTATATGGAGATTCTCCCGTTTCCAACGAAATCCACAAAGCTATCCAAATATCCACTTGCAGATTCTACAAAAAGCGTGTTTCCAAGCTGCTCTGTCAAACGAAATGTTCTATTCTGTGAGTTGAGGACACGCATCACAAACAAGTTTCTGCAAATGCTTGTGTCTGGTTTTTATGGGAAGATATTTCCTTGTTCACCATAGGCCTGAAAACACTCGAAATGTCCACTTCCAGATACTACAGAAAGAGTGTCTGAAACCTGCTCTACGAAAGGGAATGTTCAACTCTGTGACTTAAAAGCAAGCATCACAAAGAAGCTTCTGAGTATGCTACTGTCTAGTTTTTATGGGAAGATATTTCGTTTTTCAACATAGGCCTGAAATCGCTCGAAATGTCCACTTCCAGATACTATAGAAAGAGTGTTTCTAAACTGCTCTATGGAAGGGAATGTTCAACTCTGTGACTTAAAAGCAAACATCACAAAGAAGTTTCTGAGAATGCTGCTGTCTACATTTTGTTTGTAATCCCGTTTCCAACGAAATCCTGAAAGCTATCCAAATATCCACTTGCAGATTCCACAAAAAGAGCATTAAAAAGCTGATCTATAAAGAGCAAGGTTCAACTCGGTTAGTTGAGTACATATATCACAAAGATGTTTCTTAGAATGCTTCTTTCTAGTTTTTATGTGAAGACATTTCCTTTATCACCAAAGGCGTCAAAGCGCTCCAAATGTCCACTTCCAGATCCTGCAAAAAGAGTGTTTCAAACCTGCTCTAAGAAAGGGAATGTTGAACTGTGTGACTTGAATGCAGATATCACAAAGCAGTTTCTGAGAGTGCCTCTGTCTAGATTTTATATGAAGGTATTCCCGTTTCCAAAGAAATCATTAGAGCTATGCAAATATCCACTGGCAGATTCTACAAAAAGAGTGTTTCCAAACTGCTGTATCAAAAGACAGGATGTACCGCCGTTAGTTGAGGACACACATCACAAAGAAGTTTCTGAGAATGCCTCTGTCTAGATTTTATATGAAGATATTCCCGTTTCCAATGAATTCCTTAAAGCTCTCCAAATATCCACTTGAAGATTCTCCAAAAACAGTCTTTCAAAACTGCTCTGCAAATAAAATGTTTCAACTCTGTTAGTTGAGGACAAACATCACAATCCAGTTTGTGAGAATGCTTCTGTCTAGTTTTTATGGGAAGATATTTCTTTTGCACCTTAAGCGTCAAAGCGCTCCAAGTGTCCACATCCAGATAGTACAGAAAGAGTGTTTCAAACCTGCTCTATGAAAGGGAATGATCAACTCTGTGACGTGAATGCAGACATCATATAGCAGTTTCTGAGAATGTTTCTGTCTAGGTTTTATATGAAGATACTCCCGTTTCCAAGGAAATCCACAAAGCTATCCAAATATCCACTTGCAGATTCTACAAAAAGCGTGTTTCCAAACTGCTCTGTCAAATGAAATGTTCAACTCTGATAGTTGAGGATACATATCACAAACAAGTTTCTGCGAATGCTTCTGTCTAGTTTTTATGGGAAGATATTTCCTTTTTCACCTTAGGCCAGAAAGCACTCGAAATGTCCACTTGCAGATACTACAGAAAGAGTGTTTCAATCCTGCTCTATGAAAGGGAATGTTCAACTCTGTGACTTAAAAGCAAACATCACAATGTAGCTTCTGAGAATGCTGCTGTTTACTTTTTATGTGTAATCCCGTTTCCAACGAAATCCTCAATGCTATCCAAATATCCACTTGCAGATTCCAGAAAAAGAGTGTTTCAAAACTGATCTATAAATAGAAACGTTCAACTCTGTTAGTTGAGTACATACATCACAAAGAAGTTTCTTAGAATGGTTCTGTCTAGTTTTTATGGGAAGACATTTCCTTTTTCACAAAAGGCATCAAAGCACTCCAAATGTCCACTTCCAGATACTACAAAAAGAGTGTTTCAAACCTGCTCTAAGAAAGGGAATGTTCAACTCTGTGACTTGAATGCAGATATCACAAAGTAGTTTCCGAGAGTGCTTCTGTCTAGTTTTTATGGGATGATATTTCCTTTTTCAACATAGGACTGAAATCGCCCGAAATGTCCACTTCCGGATACTACAGAAAGAGTGTTTCAATCCTGCTCTATGGAAGGGAATATTCAACTCTGTGACTTAAAAGCAACCATCACAAAGAAGCTTCTGAGAATGCTGCTGTCTATATTTTATATGAAATCCCGTTTCCAAGGAAATCCTCAGAGCTATCCGAATATCCACTTGCAGATTACAGAAAAAGAGCTTCTCAAAACTGACCCAGAAATAGAAAGGTTCAACTCTGTTAGTTGAGTACATATATCCCAAAGAAGTTTCTTAGAATGCTTCTGTCTAGTTTTTATGGGAAGACATTTCCTTTTTCACCAAAGGGGTCGAAGCGGTCTAAGTGTCCACTTACACATACTACAAAAAGAGTGTTTCAAACCTTCTCTAAGAAAGGGAATGTTCAACTCTGTGACTTGAAAGCAGATAGCTCAAAGCACTTTCGGAGAGTGCCTCTCTAGATTTTATATGAAGGTATTCCCATTTCCAACGAAATCGTTACAGCTATCGAAATATCCACTTGCAGATTCTACAAAAAGAGTGTTTCCAAACTGCTGTATCAAAAGATAGGTTGTACTCTGTTAGTTGAGGACACACATCATAAATAAGTTTCTGAGAATGCCTCTGGCTAGATTTTACCTGAAGATATTACGGTTTAAAATGAAATCCTTGAAGCTCTCCAAATATCCGCTTACAGATTCTCCAAAAAGAGTCTTTCAAAACTGCTCTGTAAATAGAAAGGTTCAACGCTGTTAGTTGAGGACATACATCACAAACCAGTTTGTGAGAATGCTTCTGTCTAGTTTTTATGGGAAGATATTTCCTTTTTTACCGTAAGCGTCAATGTGCTCCAAGTGTCCACATCCAGATACTACAGAAAGAGTGTTTCAAACCTGCTCTATGAAAGGGAATGTTCAACTCTGTGACGTGAATGCAGACATCACAAAGCGGTTTCTGAGAATGTTTCTGTCTAGAATTTATATGAAGTTATTCCCGTATCCAACGAAATCGTTACAGCTATCCAAATATCCACTTGCGTAGTCTGCAAAAAGCGTGTTTCCAAACTGCTCTGTCAAACGAAATGGTCACCTCTGTGAGATGAGGACACACATCACAAACAAGTTTCTGCGAATGCTTCTGTCTAGTTTTTATGGGACGATATTTCCTTGTTCACCATAGGCCTGAAAGCGCTCGAAATGTCCACTTCCAGATAGTAGAGAAAGAGGGTTTCAAACCTGCTCTATGGAAGGGAATATTCAACTCTGTGACTTAAAAGCAAACATCACAAAGAAGCTTCTGAGAATGCTGCTGTCTACTTTTTATATGCAATCCCGTCTCCAACGAAATCCTCAGAACTATCCTTATATCCAATTGCAGATTCCACAAAAAGAGCTTTTCGAAACTGATCTATCAATAGAAAGGTTCAACTCTGTTAGGTGAGTACATATATCGCCAAGAAGTTTCTTAGAATGCTTCTGTCTAGTTTTTATCGGAAGACATTTCCTTTTTCACCAAAGGCGTCAAAGCGCTCCAAATGTCCACTTCCAGATTCTACAAAATGAGTTTTCAAACCTGCTCTAAGAAAGGGAATGTTCAACTCTGTGACTTGAATGCAGATATCACAAAGTAGTTTCTGAGAGTGCTTCTGTCTAGATTTTATATGAAGTTATTCTCGTTTCCTATGAAATGGTTAGAGCTATCCAAATATCCACATGCAGATTCTACAAAAAGAGTGTTTACAAACTGCTGTATCAAAAGAAAGGTTGAACCCTGTTAGTTGAGGACACACATCACAAAGAAATTTTTGAGAATGCTTCCGTCTAATTTTTATTGGAAGATATTTCCTTTTTCAACATAGGCCTGAAATCGCTCGAAATGTCCACTTCCAGATACTACAGAAAGAGTGTCTCAAACCTGCTCTATGGAAGGGAATATTGAACTCTGCGATTTAAAAGCAAACATCACAAAGAAGCTTCTGAGAATGCTGCTGTCTACTTTTTATACGTAATCCCGTCTCCAACGAAATCCTCAGTGCTATCCTAATATCCACATGCGGATTCCACAAAAAGAGCTTTTCAAAACTGATCTATAAATAGAAAGGTTCAACTGTGTTAGTTGAGTACATATATCCCAAAGAAGTTCCTTAGAATGCTTCTGTCTAGTTTTTATGGGAAGACCTTTCCTTTTTCACCAGAGGCGTCAAAGCGCTCCAAATGTCCACTTCCAGATACTACAAAAAGGGTGTTTCAAACCTGCTCTAAGAAAGGGAATGTTCAACTCTGTGACTTGAATGCAGATATCACAAAGCAGTTTCTGAGAGTGCCTCTGCTAAATTTTATATGAAGGTATTCCGGTTTCCAACGAAACCGTTAGAGCTATCGAAATATCCTCTTGGAGTTTCTACAAAAAGAGTGTTTTGAAACTGCTGTATCAGAAGACAAGTTGTACTCTGTTAGTTGAGGACACACATCACAAAGAAGTTTCTGAGAATGCCTCTGTCTAGATTTTTCCTCAAGATATTCCGGTTTCCAGTGAAATCCTTAAAGCTCTCCAAATATCCACTTGCAGAGTCTCCAAAAAGTGTCTTTCAAAACTGCTCTGTAAATAGAAAGGTTCAAGTCTGTTAGTTGAGGACATACATCACAAACCAGTTTGTGAGAATGCTTCTGTCTAGTTTTCATGGGAACATATTTCCTTTTTCACCGTAAGCGTCAAAGCCCTCCAAGTGTCCACATCCAGATACTACAGAAAGGGAGTTTCAAACCTGCTCTATGAAAGGGAATGTTCAACTCCGTGACGTGAATGCAGACATCACAAAGCAGTTTCTGAGAATGTTTCTGTCTAGGTTTAATAGGAAGATACTCCCGTTTCAAGCAAAATCCGCAAAGCTATCCAAATATCCACTTGCAGATTCTACAAAAAGCGTGTTTCCAAACTGCTCTGTCAAACGAAATGTTCGACTCTGTGAGTTGAGGACACACATCACAAAGAAGTTTCTGCGAATGCTTCTATCTAGTTTTTATGGGAAGATATTTCCTTGTTCACCATAGGCCTGAAAGCGCTCGAAATGTCCACTTCCAGATACTACAGGAAGAGTGTTTCAAACCTGCTCTATGAAAGAGAATGTTCAACTCTGTGACTTACAAGCAAACATCACAAAGAAGCTTCTGAGAATGCTGCTGTCTACTTTGTATATGTAATCCCGTTTCCAACTAAACCCTCAAGGCTATCGAAATATCCTCCTGCAGATTCCACGAGAAGACGGTTTAAAACCTGGTCTAAGAAAGGGAATTTTCAACTCTGTGACTTGAATGCAGATATCACAAAGTAGTTTCTGAGAGTGCTTCTGTCTAGATTTTATATGAAGATATTCCCGTCTCCAACGAAATACTTAGAGCTATCCAAATATCCAATTGCATATTCTACAAAAAGAGTGTTTCCAAACTGCTGTATCATAAGAAAGGTTGAACTCTGTTAGTTGAGGCCACACATCACAAAGACGTTTCTGAGAATGCTTCTGTATAGTTTTTATGAGAAGATATTTAATTTTTCAACATAGGCCTGAAAGCGCTCGAAATGTCCACTTCCAGATACTACAGAAAGATTGTTTCAAACCTGCTCTATGGAAGGGAAAATTCAACTCTGTGACTTAAAAGCAAACATCACAAAGACGCTTCTGAGAATGCTGCTGTCTTCTTTTTTATGTCGTACCGTTTCTAACGAAATCCTCAAAGCTATCCAATTATCCACTTGCACATTCCACAAAAGGAGTGTTTGAAAACTGATCTATAAATAGAAAAGTTCAACTCTGTTGGTTGAGTACATACATCACAAAGAAGTTTGTTAGAATGCTTCTGTCTAGTTTTTATGGGAAGACATTTCCTTTTTCACCAAAGGTGTCAAAGCCCTCCAAATGTCCACTTCCAGATACTACAAAAAGAGTGTTTCAAACCTGCTCTAAGAAAGAGAATGTTCAACTCCGTGACTTGAATGCAGATATCAAAAAGCAGTTTCTGAGAGTGCCTCTGTCTAGAATTTATATGAAGTTATTCCCGTATCCAACGAAATCGTTACAGCTATCCAAATATCCACTTGCGTATTCTGCAAAAAGCGTGTTTCCAAACTGCTCTGTCAAACGAAATGGTCACCTCTGTGAGATGAGGACACACATCACAAACAAGTTTCTGCGAATGCTTCTGTCTAGTTTTTATGGGACGATATTTCCTTGTTCACCATAGGCCTGAAAGCGCTCGAAATGTCCACTTCCAGATAGTAGACAAAGAGGGTTTCAAACCTGCTCTATGGAAGGGAATATTCAACTCTGTGACTTAAAAGCAAACATCACAAAGAAGCTTCTGAGAATGCTGCTGTCTACTTTTTATATGCAATCCCGTCTCCAACGAAATCCTCAGAACTATCCTTATATCCAATTGCAGATTCCACAAAAAGAGCTTTTCAAAACTGATCTATCAATAGAAAGGTTCAACTCTGGTAGTTGAGTACATATATCGCAAGGAAGATTCTTGGAATGCTTCTGTCTAGTTTTTATGGAAGATATTTCCTTTTTCACCAAAGGCGTCAAAGCGCTCCAAATGTCCACTACCAGATACTACAAATAGATTGTCTCAAACCTGCTCTAAGAAAGGGAATGTTCAACTCTGTGACTTGAATGCAGATATCACAAAGCAGTTTCTGAGGGTGCCTCTGTCTAGATTTTATATGAAGGTATTCCCGTTTCCTATGAAATGGTTAGAGCTATGCAAATATCCACTTGCAGATTCTACAAAAAGAGTGTTTATAAACTGCTGTATCATAAGAAAGGATGAACTCTGTTAGTTGAGGACGCACATCACAAAGAAATTTTTGAGAATGCTTCCGTCTAGTTTTTATTGGAAGATATTTCCTTTTTCAACACAGGCCTGAAATCGCTCGAAATGTCCACTTCCAGATACTACAGAAAGAGTGTTTCAAACCTTCTCTACGGAAGGGAATATTGAACTCTGCGATTTAAAAGCAAAGATCACAAAGAAGCTTTTGAGAATGCTGCTGTCTACTTTTTATACGTAATCCCGTCTCCAACGAAATCCTCAGAGCTATTCTAATATCCACTTGCGGATTCCACAAAAAGAGCTTTTTAAAACTGATCTCTAAATAGAAAGGTTCAACTCTGTTAGTTGAGTACATATATCCCAAAGAAGTTTCTTAGAATGCTTCTGTCTAGTTTTTATGGGAAGACATTTCCTTTTTCACCAAAGGCGTCAAAGCGCTCCAAGTGTCCACTTCCAGATACTACAAAAAGAGAGTTTCAAACCTGCTCTAAGAAAGGGAATGTTCAACTCTGTGACTTGAATGCAGATATCACAAAGCAGTTTCTGAGAGTGCCTCTGTCTAGATTTCATATGAAGGTATTCCCGTATCCATCGAAATCGCTAGAGCTATCCAAATATCCTCTTGCAGATTCTACAAAAAGAGTGTTTCCAAACTGATGTATCAAAAGACAGGTTGTACTCTGTTAGTTGAGGACGCACATCACGAAGAAGTTTCCGAGAATGCCTCTGGCTAGATTTTACCTGAAGATATTCCGGTTTCCAATGAAATCCTTAAAGCTATCCCAATATCCACTTGCAGATTCTCCAAAAAGAGTCTTTGAAAACTGTTCTGTAAATAGAAAGGTTCAACTCTGTTAGTTGAGGACACACATCACAAAGAAGTTTCAGCGAATGCT
>NC_000018.10:20582735-20603147 GCF_000001405.40 Homo sapiens | reverse complement strand
TATCTCCCCATAAAAACTAGACAGAAGCATTCTCATAAACTGGTTTGTGATGTATGTCCTCAGCTAACAGAGTTGAACCTTTCTATTTACAGAGCACTTTTGAAAGACTCAATTGGAGAATCTGCAAGTGGATATTTGGAAAGCTTTAAGGTTTCAATTGGAAACCGGAATATCTTCAGGTAAAATCTAGACAAGGGCATTCTCAGAAACTTCTTTGTGATGTGTGTCCTCAAGTAACAGAGTACAACCTGTCTTTTGATACAGCAGTTTGGAAACACCCTTTCTGTAGAATCTGCAAGTGGATATTTGGATAGCTCAAGCTATTTCGTTGGAAACGGGAACATCTTCATATAAACCCTAGACAGAAGCACTCTCAGAAACTACTTTGTGATATCTGTATTCAAGTCACAGAGTTGAATATTCCCTTTCTTAGAGCAGATTTGAAACCGTCTTTTCGTGGAATCTGCAGGAGGATATTTGGATAGATTTGAGGATTTCGTTGGAAACGGGATTACATTTACAAAGTAGACAGCAGCATTGTCAGAAGCTGCTTTGTGATGTTTGCTTTTAAGTCACAGAGTGGAACATTCACATTCATAGAGCAGGTTTCAAACACTCTTTCTGTAGTATCTGGAAGAGGACATTTCGAGCGCTTTCAGGCCTATGGTGAACAAGGAAATATCTTCCCATAGAAACTTGACAGAAGTATTCTCACGAACTGGTTTGGGATGTATGTCCTCAGCTAACAGAGTACAGCCTGTCTTTTGATACAGCAGTATTGAAACACTCTTTCTGTAGAATCTGCAAGTGGATATTTGGATAGCTCTAACGATTTCGTTGGAAACGGGAATACTTTAGTATAAAATCTAGACAGAGGCACTCTCAGAAACTGCTTTGTGATATGTGCATTCAAGTCACAGAGTTGAACATTCCCTGTATTAGAGCAGGTTTGAAACACTCTTTTTGTAGTATCTGGAAGTGGACATTTGGAGCGCTTTGACGCCTTTGGTGAAAAAGGAAATATCTTCCCTAAACAACTAGACAGAAGCATTCTCAGAAACTTCTTTGTGATGTGTGTCCTCAACTAACAGAGTTCAACCTCTCTTATGATACAGAAGTTTGGAAACACTCTTTTTGGAGAATATGCCAGGGGATATTTGGATAGCTCGAAGTATTTCGTTGGAAAAGGGAATACCTTCATATAAAATCTAGACAGAAGCACTCTCAGAAACTACTTTGTGATATCTGCATTCAAGTCACAGAGTCGAACATTCCCTTTCTTAGAGCCGGTTTGAAACCGTCTTTTCTTGGAATCTGCAGGTGGATATTTGGATAGCTTTCAGGATTTCTTTGGAAACGGGATTACATATACAAATTAGACTGTAGCATTCTCAGAAGCTTCTTTGTGATGTGCGCTTTCAAGTCACAGAGTTGAGCATTCCCTTTCATAGAGCAGGTTTGAAACACTCTTTTTATAGTATCTGGGAAGTGGACATTTGCAGCGCTTTTAGGCCTTTGGGGAAAAAGGAAATATCTTCCTTAAAAAACTAGAGAGAAGCATTCTCAGAAACTTTTTGTGATGTGTGTCCTCAACTAACAGAGTTCAACCACTCTTATGTTACAGAAGTTTGGAAACACTCTTTTTGTAGAATATGCAAGGGGATATTTGGATAGCTCGAAGTATTTCGTTGGAAACGGGAATATCTTCATATAAAATCTAGACAGAAGCACTCTCAGAAACTACTTTGTGATATCTGCATTCAAGTCACAGAGTTGAATATTCCCTTTCTTAGAGCAGATTTGAAACGGTCTTTTCTTGGAATCTGCAGGTGGATATTTGGATAGCTTTCAGGATTTCGTTGGAAACGGGATTACTTATACAAAGTAGACAGTAGCATTCTCAGCAGCTTCTCTGTGATGTTTGCTTTTGAGTCACAGAGTTGAGCATTCCCTTTCATAGAGCAGGTTTGAAACACTCTTTCTGTAGTATCTGGAAGTGGTCATTTCGAGGACTTTCAGGCCTATGCTGTAAAAGGAAATATCTTCCCATAAAAACTAGACAGAAGCATTCTCAGAAACTTATTTGTGATGTGTGTCCTCAACTAACAGATTTGAACCTTTCTTTTGATACAGCAGTTTGGAAACACTCTTTTTGTAGAATCTGCAAGTCGATATTTGGATAACTCTGAAGATTTCGTTGGAAACGGGAATATCTTCATGTAAAATCGAGAGAGAAGTATTCTCAGAAACTGCTTTGTGATGTCTGCATTCTCATCACAGAGTTGAAGATTCGCTTTCATAGAGCAGGTTTGAAACACTCTTTCTGCAGTATCTGGATGTGGACACTTGGAGCGCTTTGACGCTTACGGTGCAAAAGGAAATATCTTCCCATAAAAACTAGACAGAAGCATTCTCACAAACTGGTTTGTGATGTATGTCCTCAGCTAACAGAGTTGAACCTTTCTATTTACAGAGCAGTTTTGAAAGACTCAATTGGAGAATCTGCAAGTGGATATTTGGAAAGCTTTAAGGTTTCAATTGGAAACCGGAATATCTTCAGGTAAAATCTAGACAAGGGCATTCTCAGAAACTTCTTTGTGATGTGTGTCCTCAAGTAACAGAGTACAACCTGTCTTTTGATACAGTAGTTTGGAAACACCCTTTCTGTAGAATCTGCAAGTGGATATTTGGATAGCTCATGCTATTTCGTTGGAAACGGGAATAGCTTCATATAAACCCTAGAGAGAAGCACTCTCAGAAACTACTTTGTGATATCTGTATTCAAGTCACAGAGTTGAATATTCCCTTTCGTAAAGCAGGTTTGAAACCGTCTTTTCGTGGAATCTGCAGGAGGATATTTCGATAGCTTTGAGGATTTCGTTGGAAACGGGATTACATATACAAAGTAGACAGCAGCATTCTCAGAAGCTGCTTTGTGATGTTTGCTTTTAAGTCACAGAGTGGAACATTCACTTTCATAGAGCAGGTTTCAAACACTCTTTCTGTAGTATCTGGAAGAGGATATTTCGAGCGCTTTCAGGCGTATGGTGAACAAGGAAATATATTCCCATACAAACTTGACAGAAGCATTCTCACAAACTGGTTTGGGATGTATGTCCTCAGCTAACAGAGTACAGCCTGTCTTTTGATACAGCAGTATTGAAACACTCTTTCTGTAGAATCTGCAAGTGGATATTTGGATAGCTCTAACGATTTCTTTGGAAACGGGAATACTTTAGTATAAAATCTAGACAGAGGCACTCTCAGAAACTGCTTTTTGATATGTGCATTCAAGTCACAGAGTTGAACATTCCCTTTATTAGAGCAGGTTTGAAACACTCTTTTTGTAGTATCTGGAAGTGGACATTTGGAGTGCTTTGACGCCTTTGGTGAAAAAGGAAATATCTTCCCTAAACAACTAGACAGAAGCATTCTCAGAAACTTCTTTGTGATGTGTGTCTTCAACTAACAGAGTTCAACCACTATTATGATACAGAAGTTTGGAAACACTCTTTTTGGAGAATATGCCAGGGGATATTGGGATAGCTCGAAGTATTTCGTTTTAAACGGGAATATCTTCATATAAAATCTAGACAGAAGCACTCTCAGAAACTACTTTGTGATATCTGCATTCAAGTCACAGAGTGGAACATTCCCTTTCTTAGAGCCGGTTTGAAACCGTCTTTTCTTGGAATCTGCAGGTGGATATTTGCATAGCTTCCAGGATTTCGTTGGAAACGGGATTACATATACAAAGTAGACAGTAGCATTCTCAGAAGCTTCTCTGAGATGTTTGCTTTTAAGTCACAGAGTTGAGCATTCCCTTTCATAGAGCAGGTTTGAAACACTCTTTCTGTAGTATCTGGAAGTGGACATTTCGAGGGCTTTCAGGCCTATGGTGAAAAAGGAAATATGTTCCCATAAAACCTAGACGGAAGCATTCTCAGAAACTTATTTGTGATGTGTGTCCTCAACTAACAGAGTTGAACCTTTCTTTTGATACAGCAGTTTGGAAACACTCTTTTTGTAGAATCTGCAAGTGGATATTTGGATAACTTTGAACATTTCGTTGGAAGCGGGAATATCTTCATGTAAGATCGAGACAGAAGCATTCTCACAAACTGCTTTGTGATGTCTGCATTCACGTCACAGAGTTGAACATTCGCTTTCATAGAGCAGGTTTGAAACACTCTTTCTGTAGTATCTGGATGTGGACACTTGGAGCGCTTTGACGCTTACGGTGCAAAAGGAAATATCTTCCCATAAAAACTAGACAGAAGCATTCTCACAAACTGGTTTGTGATGTATGTCCTCAGCTAACAGAGTTGAACCTTTCTATTTACAGAGCAGTTTTGAGAGACTCAATTGGAGAATCTTCATGTGGATATTTGGAAAGCTTTAAGGATTTCATTGGAAATCGGAATATCTTCAGGTAACATCTAGACAAGGGCATTGTCAGAAACTTCTTTGTGATGTGTGTCCTCAAGTAACAGAGTACAACCTGTCTTTTGATACAGTAGTTTGGAAACACTCTTTCTGTAAAATCTGCAAGTGGATATTTGGATAGCTCAAGCTATTTCTTTGGAAACGGGAATATCTTCATATAAACTCTAGACAGAAGCACTCTCAGTAACTAATTTGTGATATCTGTATTCAAGTCACAGAGTTGAATATTCCCTTTCTTAGATCAGGTTTGAAACCGTCTTTTCGTGGAATCTGCAGGAGGATATTTGGATAGCTTTGAGGATTTCGTTGGAAACCGGATTACATATACAAAGTAGACAGCAGCATTCTCAGAAGCTGCTTTGTGATGTTTGCTTTTAAGTCACAGAGTTGAACATTCCCTTTCATAGAGCAGGTTTCAAACACTCTTTCTGTAGTATCTGGAAGAGGACATTTCGAGCGCTTTCAGGCATATGGTGAACAAGGAAATATCTTCCCGTACAAACTTGACAGAAGCATTCTCACAAACTGGTTTGGGATGTATGTCCTCAGCTAACAGAGTACAACCTGTCTTTTGATACAGCAGTATTGAAACACTCTTTCTGTAGAATCTGCAAGTGGATATTTGGATAGCTCTAACGATTTCATTGGAAACGGGAATACTGTAGTATAAAATCTAGACAGAGGCACTCTCAGAAACTGCTTTGTGATATGTGCATTCAAGTCACAGAGTTGAACATTCCCTGTATTAGAGCAGGTTTGAAACACTCTTTTTGTAGTATCTGGAAGTGGACATTTGGAGCGCTTTGACGCCTTTGGTGAGAAAGGAAATATCTTCCCTAAACAAGTAGACAGAAGCATTCTCAGAAACTTCTTTGTGATGTGTGTCCTCAACTAACAGAGTTCAACCTCTCTTATGATACAGAAATTTGGAAACACTCTTTTTGAAGAATATGCAAGGGGATATTTGGATAGCTCGAAGTATTTCGTTGGAAACGGGAATATCTTCATATAAAATCTAGACAGAAGCAGTCTCAGAAACTACTTTGTGATATCTGCATTCAAGCCACAGTGTCGAACATTCCCTTTCTTAGAGCCGATTTGAAACCGACTTTTCTTGGAATCTGCAGGTGGATATTTGGATAGCTTTCAGGATTTCTTTGGAAACGGGATTACATATACAAATTAGACAGTAGCATTCTCAGAAGCTTCTCTGTGATGTTTGCTTTTAAGTCACAGAGTTGAGCATTCCCTTTCATAGAGCAGGTTTGAAACACTCTTTCTGTGGTATCTGGAAGGGGACATTTCGAGGGCTTTCTGGCCTATGGTGAAAAAGGAAATATCTTCCCATAAAAACTAGACAGAAGCATTCTCAGAAACTTATTTGTGATGTGTGTCCTCAACTAACAGATTTGAACCTCTCTTTTGATACAGCAGTTTGGAAACACTCTTTTTGTAGAATCTGCAAGTGGATATTCGGATAACTTTGAAGATTTCGTTGGAAACGGGAATATCTTCATGTAAAATCGAGACAGAAGCATTCTCAGAAACTGCTTTGTGATGTCTGCATTCACGTCACAGAGTTGAACATTCGCTTTCATAGAGCAGGTTTGAAACACTCTTACTGTAGTATCTGGATGTGGACACTTGGAGCGCTTTGACTCTTACGGTGCAAAAGGAAATATCTTCCCATAAAAACTAGACAGAAGCATTCTCACAAACTGGTTTGTGATGTATGTCCTCAGCTAAGAGAGTTGAATTTTTCTATTTACAGACCAGTTTTGAAAGACTCAATTGGAGAATCTGCAAGTGGATATTTGGAAGGCTTTAAGGATTTCTTTGGAAACCGGAATATCTTCAGGTAAAATCTAGACAAGGGCATTCTCAGAAACTTCTTTGTGATGTGTGTCCTCAAGTAACATAGTACAACCTGTCTTTTGATACAGCAGTTTGGAAACTCTCTTTCTGTAGAATATGCAAGTGTATATTTGGATAACTCAAGCTATTTCATTGGAAACGGGAATAGCTTCATATAAACTCTAGAGAGAAGCACTCTCAGAAACTACTTTGTGATATCTGTATTCAAGTCACAGAGTTGAATATTCCCTTTCTTAGAGCAGGTTTGAAACCATCTTTTCGTGGAATCTGCAGGACGATAATTGGATAGCTTTGAGGATTTCGTTGGAAACAGGATTACATATACAAAGTGGACAGCGGCATTCTCAGAACCTATTTTGTGATGTTTGCTTTTAAGTCTCAGAGTTGAACATTCCCTTTCATAGAGCAGGTTTCAAACATTCTTTCTGTAGTATCTGGAAGAGAACATTTGAGCGCTTTCAGGACTATGGTGAACAAGGAAATATCTTCCCATAAAAACTTGACAGAAGCATTCTCACAAACTGGTTTGGGATGTATGTCCTCAGCTAACAGGGTGCAGCCTGTCTTTTGATACAGCAGTATTGAAACACTCTTTCTGTAGAATCTGCAAGTGGATATTTGCTTACCTCTAACGATTTCGTTGGAAACGGGAATACTTAGTATAAAATCTAGACAGAGGCACTCTGAGAAACTGCTTTGTGATATGTGCATTCAAGTCACAGAGTTGAACATTCCCTTTATTACAGCAGGTTTGAAACACTCTTTTTGTAGTATCTGGAAGTGGACATTTGGAGCGCTTTGACGCCTTTGGTGAAAAAGGAAATATCTTCCCTAAACAACTAGAAAGAAGCATTGTCAGAAACTTCTTTGTGATGTGTGTCCTCAACTAACAGAGTTCAACCTCTCTTATGATACAGAAGTTTGGAAATACTCTTTCTGGAGAATATGCAAGGGGATATTTGGATAGCTCGAAGTATTTCGTTGGAAACGGGAATATCTTCATATAAAATCTAGACAGAAGCACTCTCAGAAACTACTTTGTGATATCTGCATTCAAGTCACAGAGTCGAACATTCCCTTTCTTAGAGCCGGTTTGAAACCGCCTTTTCTTGGAATCTGCAGGTGGATATTTGGATAGCTTTCAGGATTTCTTTGGAAACGGGATTACATATACAACTTAGACAGTAGCATTCTCAGAAGCTTCTCTGTGACGTTTGCTTTTAAGTCACAGCGTTGAGCATTCCCTTTCATAGAGCAGGTTTGAAACACTCTTTCTGTCGTATCTGGAAGTGGACATTTCGAGGGCTTTCAGGCCTACGGTGAAAAAGGAAATATCTTCCCATAAAAACTAGACAGAAGCATTCTCAGAAACTTATTTGTGATGTGTGTCCTCAACTAACAGAGTTGAACCTTTCTTTTGATACAGCAGTTTGGAAACACTCTTTTTGTAGAATCTGCAAGTGGATATTCGGATAACTTTGAAGATTTCGTTGGAAACGGGAATATCTTCATGTAAAATCGAGACAGAAGCATTCTCAGAAACTGCTTTGTGATGTGAGTCCTCAAGTAACACAGTACAACCTGTCTTTTGATACAGCAGTTTGGAAACACTCTGTCTGTAGAATCTGCAAGTGGATATTTGGATAGCTCAAGCTATTTCGTTGGAAACGGGAATAGCTTCATATAAACTCTAGAGAAAAGCACCATCAGAAAATACATTTTGATATCTGTATTCAAGTCACGGAGTTGAATATTCCCTTTCTTAGAGCAGGTTTGAAACCATCTTTTCGTGGAATCTGCAGGAGGCTATTTGGATAGCTTTGAGGATTTCGTTGGAAACGGGATTACATATACAAAGTAGACAGCAGCTTTCTCAGAAGCTGCTTTGTGATGTTTGCTTTTAAGTCACAGAGTTGAACATTCCCTTTCATAGAGCAGGTTTCAAACACTCTTTCTCTAGTATATGGAAGAGGACATTTCGAGCGCTTTCAGGCCTATGGTGAACAAGGAAATATCTTCCCATACAAACTTGACAGAAGCATTCTCACAAACTAGTTTGGGATGTATGTCCTCAGCTAACAGAGTACAGCCTGTCTTTTGATAGAGCAGTATTGAAACACTCTTTCCTTAGAATCTGCAATTGGATATTTGGATAGCTCTAACGATTTCGTTGGAAACGGGAATACTTTAGTATAAAATCTAGACAGAGGCACTCTCAGAAACTGCTTTGTGATATGTGCACTCAAGTCACATAGTTGAACATTCCCTTTATTAGAGCAGGTTTGAAACACTCTTTTTGTAGTATCTGGAAGTGGACACTTGGAGCGCTTTGACGCCTTTGGTGAAAAAGGAAATATCTTCCGTAAAAAACTAGACAGAAGCATTCTCAGAAACTTCTTTGTGATGTGTTTCGTAAACTAACAGAGTTCAACCTCTGTTATGATACAGAAGTTTGGAAACACTCTTTTGGAGAATATGCAAGGGGATATTTGGATAGCTCGAAGTATTTCGTTGGAAACGGGAATATCTTCATATAAAATCTAGACAGAAGCACTCTCAGAAACTACTTTGTGATATGTGCATTCAAGTCACAGAGTCGAACATTCCCTTTCTTAGAGCAGGTTTGAAACCGTCTTTTTGTAGTATCTGGAAGTGGACATTTGGAGCAAATTGACGCCTTTGGTGAAAAAGGAAATATGTTCAGTAAAAAACTAGACAGAAGCATTCTCAGAAACTTCTTTGTGATGTGTGTCCTCAACTAATAGAGTTCAAACTCTCTTATGATACAGAAGTTTGGAAACAGTCTTTTTGGAGAATATGCCAGGGGATATTTGGATAGCTCGAAGTATTTCGTTGGAAACGGGAATATCTTCATGTTAAATCGAGACAGAAGCATTCTCAGAAACTGCTTTGTGATGTCTGCATTCACGTCACAGAGTTGAACATTCGCTTTCATAGAGCAGGTTTGAAACACTCTTTCTGTAGTATCTGGATGTGGACACTTGGAGCGCTTTGACGCTTACGGTGCAAAAGGAAATATCTTCCCATAAAAACTAGACAGAAGCATTCTCACAAACTGGTTTGTGATGTATGTCCTCAGCTAACAGAGTTGAACCTTTCTATTTACAGAGCAGTTTTGAAAGACTCAATTAGAGAATCTGCAAGTGGATATTTGGAAAGCTTTAAGGATTTCATTGGAAATCGGAATATCTTCAGGTAAAATCTAGACAAGGGCGTTCTCAGAAACTGTTTCTGATGTCTGTCCTCAAGTAACAGAGTACAACCTGTCTTTTTATACAGCAGTTTGGAAACACACTTTCTGTAGAATCGGCAAGTGGATATTTGGATAGCTCAAGCTATTTCGTTGGAAACGGGAATAGCTTCATATAAACTCTAGACAGAAGCACTCTCAGAAACTACTTTGTGATATCTGTATTCAAGACACAGTTTTGAATATTCCCTTTCTTAGAGCAAGTTTGAAACCGTATTTTCGTGGAATCTGCAGGAGGATATTTGGATAGCTTGGAGGATTTCGCTGGAAACGGGAATACATATACAAAGTAGACAGCAGCATTCTCAGAAACTGCTTTGTGATGTTTGCTTTTAAGTCACAGAGTTGAACATTCACTTTCATGGAGCAGGTTTCAAACACTCTTTCTGTAGTATCTGGAAGAGGACATTTCGAGCGCTTTCAGGCCTATGGTGAACAAGGAAATATCTTCCCTTACAAACTTGACAGAAGCATTCTCACAAACTGGTTTGGGATGTATGTCCTCAGCTAACAGAGTACAGCCTGTCTTTTGATACAGCAGTATTGAAACACTCTTTCTGTAGAACATGCAAGTGGATATTTGGATAGCTCTAACGATTTCGTTGGAAACGGGAATACTTTAGTATAAAATCTAGACAGAGGCACTCTCAGAAACTGCTTTGTGATATGTGCACTCAAGTCACATAGTTGAACATTCCCTTTATTAGAGCAGGTTTGAAACACTCTTTTTGTAGTATCTGGAAGTGGACATTTGGAGCGCTTTGACGCCTTTGGTGAAAAAGGAAATATCTTCCGTAAAAAACTAGACAGAAGCATTCTCAGAAACTTCTTTGTGATGTGTTTCGTAAACTAACAGAGTTCAACCTCTCTTATGATACAGAAGTTTGGAAACACTCTTTTGGAGAATATGCAAGGGGATATTTGGATAGCTCGAAGTATTTCGTTGGAAACGGGAATATCTTCATATAAAATCTAGACAGAAGCACTCTCAGAAACTACTTTGTGATATCTGCATTCAAGTCACAGAGTCGAACATTCCCTTTCTTAGAGCAGGTTTGAAACCGTCTTTTCGTGGAATCTGCAGGAGGATATTTGGATAGCTTTCAGGAATTCGTTGGAAACGGGATTACATATACAAAGTAGACAGTAGCATTCTCAGAAGCTTCTCTGTGATGTTTGCTTTTAAGTCACAGAGTTGAGCATTCCCTTTCATAGAGCAGGTTTGAAACACTCTTTCTGTAGTATCTGGAAGTGGACATTTCGAGGGCTTTCAGGCGTATGGTGAAAAAGGAAATATCTTCCCATAAAAACTAGACAGAAGTATTCTCAGAAACTTATTGTGATGTGTGTCCTCAACTAACAGAGTTGAACCTTTCTTTTGATACAGCAGTTTGAAAACACTCTTTTTGTAGAATCTGCAAGTGGATATTTGGATAACTTTGAAGATTTCGTTGGAAACGGGAAAATCTTCATGTAAAATCGAGACAGAAGTACTCTCAGAAACTGCTTTGTGATGTCTGCATTCACGTCACAGAGTTGAACATTCGCTTTCATAGAGCAGGTTTGAAACACTCTTTCTGTAGTATCTGGATGTGGACACTTGGAGCGCTTTGACGCTTACGGTGCAAAAGGAAATATCTTCCCATAAAAACTAGACAGAAGCATTCTCACAAACTGGTTTGTGATGTATGTCCTCAGCTAACAGAGTTGAACCTTTCTGTTTACAGACCAGTTTTGAAAGACTCAATTGGAGAACCTGAAAGTGGATATTTGGAAAGCTTTAAGGATTTCATTGGAAACCGGAATATCTTCAGGTAAAACCTAGACAAGGGCATTCTCAGAAACTCATTTGTGATGTGTGTCCTCAAGTAACAGAGTACCACCTGTGTTTTGATACAGCAGTTTGGAAACACTCTTTCTGTAGAATCTGCAAGTCGATATTCGGATAGCTCAAGCTATTTCGTTGGAAACGGGAATAGCTTCATATAAACTCTAGACAGAAGCACTGTCAGAAACTACTTTGTGATATCTGTATTCAAGTCACAGAGTTGAATATTCCCTTTCTTAGAGCAGGTTTGAAACCGTCTTTTCGTGGAATCTGCAGGAGGATATTTGGATAGCTTTGAGGATTTCGTTGGAAACGGGATTACATATACAAAGTAGACAGCAGCATTCTCAGAAGCTGCTTTGTGATGTTTGCTTTTAAGTCACAGAGTTGAACATTCACTTTCATAGAGCAGGTTTCAAACACTCTTTCTGTAGTATCTGGAAGAGGACATTTCGAGCGCTTTCAGGCCTATGGTGAACAAGGAAATATCTTCCCATAGAAACTTGACAGAAGCATTCTCACGAACTGGTTTGGGATGTATGTCCTCAGCTAACAGAGTACACCCTGTCTTTTGATACAGCAGTATTGAAACACTCTTTCTGTAGAATCTGCAAGTGGATATTTGGATAGCTCTAACGATTTCTTTGGAAACGGGAATACTTTAGTATAAATCTAGAGAGAGGCACTCTCAGAAACTGCTTTGTGATGTGCGCATTCAAGTCACAGATTTGAACATTCCCTTTATTAGAGCAGGTTTGAAACACTCTTTTTGTAGTATCTTGAAGTGGACATTTGGAGCGCTTTGACGCCTTTGGTGAAAAAGGAAATATCTTCCCTAAAAAACAAGACAGAAGCATTCTCAGAAACTTCTTTGTGATGTGTGTCCTCAACTAACGGAATTCAACCTCTCTTATGATACAGATGTTTGGAAACACTCTTGTTGGAGAATATGCCTGGGGATATTTGGATAGCTCGAACTATTTCATTGGAAACGGGAATATCTTCATATAAAACCTAGACAGAAGCACTCTGAGAAACTACTTTGTGATATCTGCATTCAAGTCACAGAGTTGAATATTCCCTTTCTTAGAGCAGGTTTGAAACCGTCTTTTCGTGGAATCTGTAGGAGGATATTTGGATAGCTTTGAGGATTTCGTTGGAAACGGGATTACATATACAAAGTAGACAGCAGCATTCTCAGAAGCTGCTTTGTGATGTTTGCTTTTTATTCACAGAGTTGAACATTCCCTTTCATAGAGCAGGTTTCAAACACTCTTTCTGTAGTATCTGGAAGAGGACATTTCGAGCGCTTTCAGGTCTATGGTGAACAAGGAAATATCTTCCCATACAAACTGGTCAGAAGCATTCTCACAAACCGGTTTGGGATGTATGTCCTCAGCTAAAAGAGTACAGCCTGTCTTTTGATACAGCAGTATTGAAACACTCTTTCTGTAGAATCTGCATGTGGATATTTGGATAGCTCTAACGATTTCGTTGGAAACGGGAATACTTTAGTATAAAATCTAGACAGAGGCACTCTCAGAAACTGCTTTGTGATATGTGCACTCAATTCACAGAGGTGAACATTCCCTTTATTAGAGCAGGTTTGAAACACTCTTTTTGTAGTATCTGGAAGTAGACATTTGGAGTGCTTTGACGCCTTTGGTGAAAAAGGAAATATGTTCAGTAAAAAAGTAGACAGAAGCACTCTCAGAAACTTCTTTGTGATGTGTGTCCTCAACTAATAGA
Organism: Homo sapiens; assembly: GCF_000001405.40. Lineage (NCBI taxonomy): Eukaryota > Metazoa > Chordata > Mammalia > Primates > Hominidae > Homo > Homo sapiens. The sequence goes on along the minus strand of NC_000018.10, from coordinate 20,589,978 downwards.
GTTCAACCTCTCTTATGATACAGAAGTTTGGAAACACTCTTTTTGGAGAATATGCCAGGGGATATTTGGATAGCTCGAAGTATTTCTTTGGAAACGGGAATATCTTCATGTTAAATCGAGACAGAAGCATTCTCAGAAACTGCTTTGTGATGTCTGCATTCACGTCACAGAGTTGAACATTCGCTTTCATAGAGCAGGTTTGAAACACTCTTTCTGTAGTATCTGGATGTGGACACTTGGAGTGCTTTGACGCTTACGGTGCAAAAGGAAATATCTTCCCATAAAAACTAGACAGAAGCATTCTCACAAACTGGTTTGTGATGTATGTCCTCAGCTAACAGAGTTGAACCTTTCTATTTACAGAGCAGTTTTGAAAGACTCAATTGGAGAATCCGCAAGTGGATATTTGGAAAGCTTTAAGGATTTCATTAGAAATCGGAATATCTTCAGGTAAAATCTAGACAAGGGCATTCTCAGAAACTTTTTCTCATGTGTGTCCTCAAGTAACAGAGTACAACCGGTCTTTTGATACAGCAGTTTGGAAACATTCTTTCTGTAGAATCTGCAAGTGGATATTTGGATAGCTCAAGCTATTTCGTTGGAAACGGGAATAGCTTCATATAAACTCTAGACAGAAGCACTCTCAGAAACTACTTTGTGATATCTGTATTCAAGACACAGTGTTGAATATTCCCTTTCTTAGAGCAAGTTTGAAACCGTATTTTCGTGGAATCTGCAGGAGGATATTTGGATAGCTTCGAGGATTTCGCTGGAAACGGGATTACATATACAAAGTAGACACCAGCATTCTCAGAAGCTGCTTTGTGATGTTTGCTTTTAAGTCACAGAGTTGAACATTCCCTTTTATAGAACAGGTGTCAAACACTCTTTCTGTAGTATCTGGAAGAGGACATTTCGAGCACCTTCAGGCCTATGGTGAACAAGGAAATATCTCCCCATACAAACTTGACAGAAGCATTCTCACAAACTGGTTTGGGATGTATGTCCTCAGCTAACAGAGTACAGCCTGTCTTTTGATAGAGCAGTATTGAAACACTCTTTCTGTAGAATCTGCAAGTGTATATTTGGATAGCCCTAACAATTTCGTTGGAAGCGGGAATACTTTAGTATAAAATCTAGACAGAGGCACTCTCAGAAACTGCTTTGTGATCTGTGCATTGAAGTCACAGAGTTGAACATTCCCTTTATTAGAGCAGGTTTGAAACACTCTTTTTGTAGTATCTGGAAGTGGACATTTCGAGCGCTTTGACGCCTTTGGTGAAAAAGGAAATAACTTCCCTAAAAAACCAGACAGAAGCATTCTCAGAAACTTCTTTGTGACGTGTGTCCTCAACTAACAGAGTTCAACCTCTCTTATGATACAGACGTTTGGAAACACTCTTTTTGGAGAATATGCCAGAGGATATTTGGATAGCTGGAAGTATTTCGTTGGAGACGGTAATATCTTCATATAAAATCTAGACAGAAGCACTCTCAGACACTAATTTGTGATATCTGCATTCAAGTCACAGAGTCGAAAATTCCCTTTCTTAGAGCAGGTTTGAAACCGTCTTTTCGTTGAATCTGCAGGCGGATATTTGGATAGCTTTCAGGATTTCGTTGGAATGGGGATTACATATACAAAGTGGACAGTAACATTCTCAGAAGCTTCTGTGTGATGTTTGCTTTTAAGTCACAGAGTTGAGCATTCCCTTTCATAGAGCAGGTTTGAAACACTCTTTCTGTAGTATCTGGAAGTGGACATTTCGAGGCCTTTCAGGCCTATGGTGAAAAAGGAAATATCTTCCCATAAAAACTAGACAGAAGCATTCTCCGAAAGTTATTTGTGATGTGTGTCCTCAACTAACAGAGTTGAACCTTACTTTTGATACAGCAGTTTGGAAACACTATTTTTGTAGAATCTGCAAGGGGATATTTGGATAACTTTGAAGATTTCGTTGGAAACGGGAATATCTTCATGTTAAATCGAGACAGAAGCATTCTCAGAAACTGCTTTGTGATGTCTGCATTCACGTCACAGAGTTGAACATTCGCTTTCATAGAGCAGGTTTGAAACACTCTTTCTGTAGTATCTGGATGTGGACACTTGGAGCGCTTTGACGCTTATGGTCCAAAAGGAAATATCTTCCCATAAAAACTAGACAGAAGCATTCTCACAAACTGGTTTGTGATGTATGTCCTCAGCTAACAGAGTTGAAACTTTCTATTTACAGAGTAGTTTTGACTGACTCAATTGGAGAATCTGCAAGTGGATATTTGGAAAGCTTTAAGGATTTCATTGGAAACCGGAATATCTTCAGGTAAAATCTCGACAAGGGCATTCTCAGAAACTTCTTTGTGACGTGTGTCCTCAAGCAACAGAGTACAACCTGTCTTTTGATACAGCAGTTTGGAAACACTCTTTCTGTAGAATCTGCAAGTGGATAGTTGGATAGCTCAAGCTATTTCGTTCGAAACGGAAATAGCTTCATATAAACCCTAGACAGAAGCACTCTCAGAATCTACTTTGTGATATCTGTATTCAAGTCACAGAGTTGAATATTAAGTTTCTTAGAGCAGGATTGAATCCGTTTTTTCGTGGAATCTGCAGGAGGATATTTGGATAGCTTCGAGGATTTCGCTGGAAACGGGATTACATATAAAAAGTAGACAGCAGCATTCTCAGAAGCTGCTTTGTGATGTTTGCTTTTAAGTCACAGAGTTGAACATTACCTTTTATAGAGCAGGTTTCCAACACTCTTTCTGTAGTATCTGGAAGAGGACATTTCGAGCGCTTTCAGGGCTATGGTGAACAAGGAAATATCTTCCCATACAAACTTGACAAAAGCATTCTCACAAACTCGTTTGATATCTATGTCCTCAGCTAACAGAGTACAGCCTGTCTTTTGATACAGCAGTATTGAAACACTCTTTCTGTAGAATCTGCAAGTGGATATTTGGATAGCTCTAACGATTTCTTTGGAAACGGAATACTTTAGTATAAAATCTAGACAGAGGCACTCTCAGAAACTGCTTTGTGATATGTGCATTCAAGTCACAGAGTTGAACATTCCCTTTATTAGAGCAGGTTTGAAACACTCTTTTTGTAGTATCTGGAAGTGGACATTTGGAGCGCTTTGACGCCTTTGGTGAAAAAGGAAATATCTTCCCTAAAAAACTAGACAGAAGCATTCTCAGAAACTTCTTTGTGATGTGTGTCCTCAACTAACAGAGTCAAACCTCTCTTATGATAGAGAAGTTTGGAAACACTCTTTTTGGAAAATATGCCAGGGGATATTTGGATAGCTCGAAGTATTTCGTTGGAAACGGGAATATCTTCATGTTAAATCGAGACAGAAGCATTCTCAGAAACTGCTTTGTGATGTCTGCATTCACGTCACAGATTTGAATATTCGCTTTCATAGAGCAGGTTTGAAACACTCTTTCTGTAGTATCTGGATGTGGACACTTGGAGCGCTTTGACGCTTACGGTGCAAAAGGAAATATCTTCCCATAAAAACTAGACAGAAGCATTCTCACAAACTGGTTTGTGATGTATGTCCTCAGCTAACAGAGTTGAAACTTTCTATTTACAGAGCAGTTTGGAAAGACTCAATTGGAGAATCTGCAAGTGGATATTTGGAAAGCTTTAAGGATTTCATTGGAAACCGGAATATCTTCAGGTAACATCTAGACAAGGGCATTCTCAGAAACGTCTTTGTGACCTGTGTACTCAAGTAACAGAGTACAACCTGTCTTTTGATACAGCATTTTGGAAACACTCATTCTGTAGAACCTGCAAGTGGATATTCGGATAGCTCAAGCTATTTCGTTGGAAACGGGAATAGCTTCATATAAACTCTAGACAGAAGCACTGTCAGAAACTACTTTCTGATATCTGTATTCAAGTCACAGAGTTGAATATTCCCTTTCTTAGAGCAGGTTTGAAACCGTCTTTTCGTGGAATCTGCAGGAGTATATTTGGATAGCTTTGAGGATTTCGTTGGAAACGGGATTACATATACAAAGTAGACAGCAGCATTCTCAGAAGCTGCTTTGTGATGTTTGCTTTTAAGTCACAGAGTTGAACATTCCCTTTTATAGAGCAGGTTTCAAACACTCTTTCTGTAGTATCTGGAAGAGGACATTTCGAGCGCTTTCAGGCCTATGGTGAACAAGGAAATATCTTCCCATACAAACTTTTCAGAAGCATTCTCACAAACTGCTTTGGGATGTATGTCCTCAGCTAACAGAGTACAGCCTGTCTTTTGATACAGCAGTATTGAAACACTCTTTCTGTAGAATCTGCAAGTGGATATTTGGATAGCTCTAACGATTTCGTTGGAAACGGGAATAATTTAGTATATAATCTAGACAGAGCATTCTCAGAAACAGCTTTGTGATGTCTGCATTCACGTCACAGAGTTGAACATTCGCTTTCATAGAGCAGGTTTGAAACACTCTTTCTGCAGTATCTGGATGTGGACAATCGGAGCGCTTTGACGCTTACGGTGCAAAAGGAAATATCTTCCCATAAAAACTAGACAGAAGCATTCTCACAAACTGGTTTGTGATGTATGTTCTCAGCTAACAGAGTTGAACCTTTCTATTTACAGAGCTGTTTTGAAAGACTCTATTGGAGAATCTGCAAGTGGATAATTGGAAAGCTTTAAGGATTTCATTGGAAACCGGAATATCTTCAGGTAAAATCTCGACAAGGGCATTCTCAGAAACTTCTTTGTGATGTGTGTCCTCAAGTAACAGAGTACAACCTGTCTTTTGATACAGCAGTTTGGAAACACTCTTTCTGTAGAATCTACAAGTGGATATTTGGATAGCTCAATCTATTTCGTTGGAAACGGGAATAGCTTCATATAAACTCTAGACAGAAGCACTCTCAGAAACTACTTTGTGATATCTGTATTCAAGTCACAGAGTTGAATATTCCCTTTCTTAGAGCAGGTTTGAAACCGTCTTTTCGTGGAATCTGCAGGAGGATATTTGGATAGCTATGGGGATTTCTTCGGAAACGGGATTACATATACAAAGTAGACAGCAGCATTCTCAGAAGCTGCTTTGTGATGTTTGCTTTTAAGTCACAGAGTTGAACATTCCCTTTCAGAGAGCAGGTTTCAAACACTCTTTCTGTAGTATCTGGAAGAGGACATTTCGAGCGCTTTCAGGCCTATGGTGAACAAGGAAATATCTTCCCATACAAACTTGACAGAAGCATTCTCACAAACTGGTTTGGGATGTATGTCCTCAGCTAACAGAGTACAACCTGTCTTTTGATACAGCAGTATTGAAACACTCTTTCTGTAGAATCTGCAAGTGGATATTTGGATAGCTCTAACGATTTCGTTGGAAACGGGAATACTTTAGTATAAAATCTAGACACAGGCACTCTCAGAAACTGCTCTGTGATATGTGCATTCAAGTCACAGAGTTGAACATTCCCTTTATTAGAGCAGGTTTGAAACACTCTTTTTGTAGTATCTGGAAGTGGACATTTGGAGCGCTTTGACGCCTTTGCTGAAAAAGGAAATATCTTCTCTTCAAAACTAGACAGAAGCATTCCCAGAAACTTCTTTGTGATGTGTGTCCTCAACTAACAGAGTTCAACCTCTCTTATGCTACAGAAGTTTGGAAACACTCTTTTTGTAGTATATGCAAGGGGATATTTGTATAGCTCGAACTATTTCATTGGAAACGGGAATATCTTCATATAAAATCTAGACAGAAGCACTCTCCGAAACTACTTTGTGCTATCTGCATTCAAGTCACAGAGTTGAATATTCCCTTTCTTAGAGCAGGTTTGAAACCGTCTTTTCTTGGAATCTGCAGGTGGATATTTGGATAGCTTTCAGGATTTCGTTGGAAACAGGATTACATATACAAAGTAGACAGTAGCATTCTCAGAAGCTTCTCTGTGATGTTTGCTTTTAAGTCACAGAGTTGAGCATTCCCTTTCATAGAGCAGGTTTGAAACACTCTTTCTGTAGTATCTGGAAGTGGACATTGCGAGGGCTTTCAGGCCTATGGTGAAAAAGGAAATATCTTCCCATAAAAACTAGACAGAAGCATTCTCAGAAACTTATTTGTGATGTATGTCCTCAACTAACAGAGTTGAACCTTTCTTTTGATACAGCAGTTTGGAAACACTCTTTTTGTAGAATCTGCAAGTGGATATTTGGATAACTTTGAAGATTTCGTTGGAAACGGGAATATCTTCATGTAAAATCGGGACAGAAGCATTCTTCAGAAACAGCTTTGTGATGTCTGCATTCACGTCACAGAGTTGAACATTCGCTTTCATAGCGCAGGTTTGAAAAACTCTTTCTGCAGTATCTGGATGTGGACACTTGGAGCGCTTTGACGCTTACGGTGCAAAAGGAAATATCTTCCCATTAAAACTAGACAGAAGCATTCTCACAAACTGGTTTGTGATGTATGTCCTCAGCTAACAGAGTTGAACCTTTCTATTTACAGAGCTGTTTTGAAAGACTCTATTGGAGAATCTGCAAGTGGATATTTGGAAAGCTTTAAGGATTTCATTGGAAACCGGAATATCTTCACGTAAAATCTCGACAAGGGCATTCTCAGAAACTTCTTTGTGATGTGTGTCCTCAAGTAACAGAGTACAACCTGTCTTTTGATTCAGCAGTTTGGAAACACTCTTTCTGTAGAATCTACAAGTGGATATTTGGATAGCTCAAGCTATTTCGTTGGAAACGGGAATAGCTTCATATAAACTCTAGACAGAAGCACTCTCAGAAACTACTTTGTGATATCTGTATTCAAGTCACAGAGTTGAATATTCCCTTTCTTAGAGCAGGTTTGAAACCGTCTTTTCGTGGAATCTGCAGGAGGATATTTGGATAGCTTTGGGGATTTCGTCGGAAACGGGATTACATATACAAAGTAGACAGCAGCATTCTCAGAAGCTGCTTTGTGATGTTTGCTTTTAAGTCACAGAGTTGAACATTCCCTTTCAGAGAGCAGGTTTCAAACACTCTTTCTGTAGTATCTGGAAGAGGACATTTCGAGCGCTTTCAGGCCTATGGTGAACAAGGAAATATCTTCCCATAAAAACTTGACAGAAGCATTCCCACAAACTGGTTTGGGATGTATGTCCTCAGCTAACAGAGTACAACCTGTCTTTTGATACAGCAGTATTGAAACACTCTTTCTGTAGAATCTGCGAGTGGATATTTGGATAGCTCTAACGATTTCGTGGAAACGG
>NC_000018.10:20571466-20582635 GCF_000001405.40 Homo sapiens | reverse complement strand
AAAGAAAGTAGACAGCAGCATTCTCAGGAGATTCTTTGTGATGTTTGCTTTTAAGTCACAGAGTTGAATATTCCCTTCAATAGAGCAGGTTTGAAACACTCTTTCTGTAGTATCTGGAAGTGGACATTTCGATCGATTTCAGGCCTATGTTGAAAAAGGAAATATCTCTACATAAAAACTAGACAGAAGCATTCTCAGAAACGTCTTTGTGATGTGTGTCCTCAACTAACAGAGTTCAACCTTTCTTATGATACAGCAGTTTGGAAACACTCTTTTTATAGAATTTGCATGTTGATATATGGATAGCCCTAACTATTTCGTTGGAAACGGGAATATCTTCATATAAAACCTAGACAGAAACACTCTCAGAAACTACTTTGTGATATCTGCATTGATATCAGAGAGTTGAATATTCCCTTTCTAAGGGCAGGTTTGAAAGCGTCTTTTTGTGGAATCTGCAGGAGGATATTTGGATAGCTTTGAGGATTACGTTGGAAACGGGATTACATATACAAAGTAGACAGCAGCATTCTCAGAAGCTTCTTTGTGATGTTTGCTTTTAAGTCACAGAGTTGAACGTTCCCTTTCATAGAGCAGGTTTCAAACTCTCTTTCTGTAGTATCTGGAAGTGGATATTTCGAGCGCTTTCAGGCCTATGGTGAACAAGGAAATATCTTCCCATGCAAACTAGACAGAAGGTTTGGCAGAAACTTGTTTGTGATGTGTGTCCTCAACTCATAGTGTTGAACATTTCGTTTGACAGAGCAGTTTGGAAACACGCTTTTTGTAGAATCTGCAAGTGGATATTTGGATGGCTTTGTGGATTTCGTTGGAAACGGGAGTATCTTCATAGAAATCCTAGACAGTAATATTCTCAGAAACTGCTTTGTGATATCTGCATTCACGTCACAGAGTTGAACATTCCCTTTCATAGAGCAGGTTTGAAACAGTCTTTCTGTAGTATCTGGATGTGGACACTTGGTGCGCTTGGACGCTTATGGTGAAAAAGGAAATATGTCCCATAAAAACTAGACAGAAGCATTCTCACAAACTGGTTTGTGATGTATGTCTTCAACTAACAGAGTTGAACATTTCTATTTACAGAGCAGTTTTGAAGGACTCTTTTGGAGTATTTGCTAGTGGATATTTGGAGAGCTTTAAGGATTTCATGGAGACCGGAATGTCTTCAGGTGAAATCTAGACAGAGGTATTCTCAGAAACTTCTTTGTGATGTGTGTCCTCAACTGACAGAGTACAACCTGTCTTTTGATACAGCAGTTTGGAAACACTCCTTTTGTAGAATCTGCAAGTGGATATTTGGATAGCTCTCACGATTTTTTTGGAAACGGGAATACTTTCATATAAAATCTAGACAGTGGCACTCTCAGGAACTGATTTTTGATATCTGAATTCAGGTCACAGGGTTGAACATTTCCTTTCGTAAAGCAGGTTTGAAACACTCTTTTTGTAGTATCTGGAAGTGGACATTTGGAGCGCTTTGACGCCTTTGGTGAAAAAGGAAATGTCTTCCCATCAAAACTAGACCGAAGCATTGTAAGAAACTTCTTTGGGATATATGTACTCAACTAACAGTTTTGAACCTTTCTCTTTATAGATGAGTTTTGAAAAGCTCTTTTTGTGGAATATGCAAATGGATATTAGGATAGCTCTGAGGACTTCGTTGGAGACGGGATTACATATAAAAAGTGGACAGCAGCATTCTCAGGAGCTTCTTTGTAATGTTTGCTTTAAGTCACAGAGTTCAATATTCCCTTCCATAGAGTGGGTTTGAAACATTCTTTCTGTACTATCTGGAAGTGGACATTTCGAGCGATTTCAGGCCTATGTGGAAAAAGGAAAACTCTTCCCATAAAAACTAGGCAGAAGCATTCTCAGAAACTTCTTTGTGATGTTGGTACTCAACTAACAGAGTTCAACCTTTCTTATGATACAGCAGCTTGGAAACACTCTTTTTATAGAATTTGCAACTGGATATATGGATAGCTCTAACTATTTCGTTGGAAACGGGAATATCTTCATATAAAATCCAGACAGTGGCACTCTCAGAAACTGGTTTGTGATATCTGCATTCAAGTCACAGAGTTGAACATTTCTTTTCATAAAGCAGGTTTGAAACTCTCTTTTTGTAGTATCTGGAACTGGACATTTGGAGCGCTTTGACGCCTTTGGTGAAAAAGGAAATGTCTTCCCATCAAAACTAGAATACAGCATTCTAAGAAACATTTTTGGGATATATGTACTCAACTAACAGAGTTGAACCTTTCTCTTTATAGATCAGCTTTGAAAACCTCTTTTTGTGGAATCTGCAAATGGATATTAGGATAGCTCTGAGGATGTCGTTGGAGACGGGATTACATTTAAATAGTAGACAGCAGCATTCTCAGGAGCTTCTTTGTGTTGTTTGCTCTTAAGTCACAGAGTTGAACATTCCCTTCCATAGAGCAGGTTTGAAACACTCTTTCTGTAGTATCTGGAAGTGGACATTTCGAGCGATTTCAGGCCTATGTGGAAAAAGGAAATATCTTCCCATAAAAAGTAGACAGAAGCATTCTCAAAAACTTCTTCGTGATGTGGGTCCTCAACTAACAGAGTTCAACCTTTCTTATGATACAGCAGCTTGGAAACACTCTTTTTATAGAATTTGCAACTGGATATATGGATAGCTCTAACGTTTTCGTTGGAAACGGGAATATCTTCATATAAAACCTAGGCAGAAGCACTCTCAGAAACTTCTTTGTGATATCTGCATTCATATCACAGAGTTGAATATTCCCTTTCTAAGAGCGGGTTTGAACCGTCTTTCTGTAGAATCTGCGGTAGTATATTTGGATAGCTTTGAGGATTTCGTTGGAAACGGGATTACACATACAAAGTCGACAGCAGCATTCTCAGAAGCTTCTTTGTGATGTTTGCTTTTAAGTCACACAGTTGAACATTGCCTTTCATAGGGCAGGTTTCAAACACTCTCTCTGTAGTATCTGGAAGTGGACATTTCGAGTGCTTTCAGGCCTATGGTGAACAAGGAAATATCTTCCCATGCAAACTAGACTGAAGCATTCGCAGAAACTTGTTTGTGATGTGTGTCCTCAACTCACAGAGTTGAACATTTCGTTTGACAGAGCAGTTTGGAAACACGATTTTTGTAGAATCTGCAAGTGGATATTTGGATGGCTTTGTGGATTTCGTTGGAAACGGGAGTATCTTCATAGAAAACCTAGACAGAAACATTCTCAGAAACTGCTTTGTGATATCTGCATTCACGTCACAGAGTTGAACATTCCCTTTCGTAGAGCAGGTTTGAAACACTCTTTCTGTAGTATCTGGATGTGGACACTTGGAGCGCTTGGACGCTTACGGTGAAAAAGGAAATATCTTCCCATAAAAACTAGACAGAAACATTCTCACAAACTGGTTTGTGATGTATGTCCTCAACTAACAGAGTTGAACATTTCTATTTACAGAGCAGTTTTGAAAGACTCTTTTTGGAGAATGTGCAAGTGGATATTTTGAGAGCTTTTAGGATTTCTTTGGAAACCGGAATATCTTCAGGTGAAATCTAGACAGAGGCATTCTCAGAAACTTCTTTGTGATGTGTGTCCTCAACTGACAGACTACAACCTGTCTTTTGATACAGCAGCTTGGAAACACTGTTTTTATAGAATTTGCACCTGGATATATGGATAGCTCTATCTATGTAGTTGGAAACCGGAATATCTTCATATAAAATCTAGACAGAAGCACTCTCACAAAATACTTTGCGATATCTGCATTCATATCACTGAGTTGAATATTCCATTTTTAAGAGCAGGTTTAAACCGTCTTTCTGTGGAATCTGCAGGACGATATTTGGATAGCTTTGAGGATTTCGTTGGAAACGGGATTACACATACAAAGTAGACAGCAGCATTCTCAGAAGCTTCTTTGTCATGTTTGCTTTTAAGTCACAGAGTTGAACATTCCCTTTAATAGAGCAGGTTTCAAAATCTCTCTCTGTAGTATCTGAAAGTGGATATTTCGAACGCTTTCAGGCCTATGGTGAACAAGGAAATATCTTCCCATGAAAACTAGACAGAAGGTTTGGCAGAAACTTGTTTGTGATGTGTGTCCTCAACTCATAGTGTTGAACATTTCGTTGGACAGAGCAGTTTGGAAACACGCTTTTTGCAGAATCTGCAAGTGGATATTTGGATAGCTTTGTGGATTTCGTTGGAAACGGGAGTATCTTCATAGAAATCCTAGACAGAAATATTCTCAGAAACTGCTTTGTGATATCTGCATTCACGTCACAGAGTTGAACATTCCCTTTCAGAGAGCAGGTTTGAAACAGTCTTTCTGTAGTATCTGGATGTGGACACTTGGTGCGCATGGAAGATTACGGTGAAAAAGGAAATATGTTCCCATAAAAACTAGACAGAAGCATTCTCACAAACTGGTTTGTGATGTATGTCCTCAACGAACAGAGTTGAACATTTCTATTTACAGAGCAGTTTTGAAGGACTCTTTTTGGAGAATTTGCAAGTGGATATTTGGAGAACTTTAAGGATTTCATGGGAGACCGGAATATCTTCAGGTGAAATCTAGACAGAGGTATTCTCAGAAACTTCTTTGTGATGTGTGTCCTCAACTGACAGAGTACAACCTGTCTTTTGATACAGCAGTTTGGAAACACTCCTTTTGTAGAATCTGCAAGTGGATATTTGGATAGCTCTCACGATTTTTTTGGAAACGGGAATACTTTCATATAAAATCTAGACAGTGGCACTCTCAGGAACTGATTTTTGATATCTGAATTCAGGTCACAGGGTTGAACATTTCCTTTCGTAAAGCAGGTTTGAAACACTCTTTTTGTAGTATCTGGAAGTGGACATTTGGAGCGCTTTGACGCCTTTGGTGAAAAAGGAAATGTCTTCCCATCAAAACTAGACCGAAGCATTGTAAGAAACTTCTTTGGGATATATGTACTCAACTAACAGTTTTGAACCTTTCTCTTTATAGATGAGTTTTGAAAAGCTCTTTTTGTGGAATATGCAAATGGATATTAGGATAGCTCTGAGGACTTCGTTGGAGACGGGATTACATATAAAAAGTGGACAGCAGCATTCTCAGGAGCTTCTTTGTAATGTTTGCTTTAAGTCACAGAGTTCAATATTCCCTTCCATAGAGTGGGTTTGAAACATTCTTTCTGTACTATCTGGAAGTGGACATTTCGAGCGATTTCAGGCCTATGTGGAAAAAGGAAAACTCTTCCCATAAAAACTAGGCAGAAGCATTCTCAGAAACTTCTTTGTGATGTTGGTACTCAACTAACAGAGTTCAACCTTTCTTATGATACAGCAGCTTGGAAACACTCTTTTTATAGAATTTGCAACTGGATATATGGATAGCTCTAACTATTTCGTTGGAAACGGGAATATCTTCATATAAAATCCAGACAGTGGCACTCTCAGAAACTGGTTTGTGATATCTGCATTCAAGTCACAGAGTTGAACATTTCTTTTCATAAAGCAGGTTTGAAACTCTCTTTTTGTAGTATCTGGAACTGGACATTTGGAGCGCTTTGACGCCTTTGGTGAAAAAGGAAATGTCTTCCCATCAAAACTAGAATACAGCATTCTAAGAAACATTTTTGGGATATATGTACTCAACTAACAGAGTTGAACCTTTCTCTTTATAGATCAGCTTTGAAAACCTCTTTTTGTGGAATCTGCAAATGGATATTAGGATAGCTCTGAGGATGTCGTTGGAGACGGGATTACATTTAAATAGTAGACAGCAGCATTCTCAGGAGCTTCTTTGTGTTGTTTGCTCTTAAGTCACAGAGTTGAACATTCCCTTCCATAGAGCAGGTTTGAAACACTCTTTCTGTAGTATCTGGAAGTGGACATTTCGAGCGATTTCAGGCCTATGTGGAAAAAGGAAATATCTTCCCATAAAAAGTAGACAGAAGCATTCTCAAAAACTTCTTCGTGATGTGGGTCCTCAACTAACAGAGTTCAACCTTTCTTATGATACAGCAGCTTGGAAACACTCTTTTTATAGAATTTGCAACTGGATATATGGATAGCTCTAACGTTTTCGTTGGAAACGGGAATACCTTCATATAAAATCTAGACAGTGGCACTCTCAGAAACTGCTTTGTGATATCTGCATTCAAGTCACAGAGTTGAACATTTCCTTTTGTAAAGCAGGTTTGAAGCACCCTTTTTGTAGTATCTGGAAGTGGACTTTTGGAGTGCTTTGACACCTTTGGTGAAAAAGGAAATGTCTTGCCATCAAAACTAGAATGTAGCATTCTAAGAAACTTCATTGGGATATATGTACTCAACTAACAGAGGTGAACCTTTCTCTTTATAGATCAGTTTTGAAAACCTCTTTTTGTGGAATCTGCAAACGGATATTAGGATAGTTCTGAGGATGTCGTTGGACACGGGATTACATATAAAAAGTAGACAGCAGCATTGTCAGGAACTTCTTTGTGATGTTTGCTTTTAAGTCACAGAGTTGAATATTCCCTTCAATAGAGCAGGTTTCAAACAATCTTTCTGTAGTATCTGGAAGTGGACATTTCGAGCGATTTCAGGCCTATGTGGAAAAAATCAATATCTTCCCATAAAAACTAGACAGAAGCATTCTCAAAAACTTCTTTGTAATGTGGGTCCTCAACTAACAGAGTTCATCCATTCTTATGATACAGCAGCATGGAAATACGCTTTTTATAGAATTTGCAACTGGATATATGGATAGCTCTAACTATTTCGTTGTAAACGGGAATATCTTCATATAAAATCTAGACAGCAGCACTCTCAGAAAATACTTTGTGATATCTGCATTCATATCACAGAGTTGAATATTCCCTTTCTAAGAGCGGGTTTGAAACCGTCTTTCTGTGGAATCTGCAGGAACATATTTGGATAGCTATGAGGATTTCGTTGGAAACGGGAATACATATACAAAGTAGACAGCAGCATTCTCAGAAACTTCTTTGTGATGTTTGCTTTTAGGTCACAGAGTTGAACATTCCTTTTCATAGAGCAGTTTCAAACACTCTTACTCTAGTATCTGGAAGTAGACATTTCGAGCGCTTTCACGCCTATGGTGAACAAGGAAATATCTTCCCATGAAAACTACACAGAAGCATTCACAGAAACTTGTTTGTGATGTGTGTCCTCAACTCACAGAGTTGAACATTTCGTTGGACAGAGCAGTTTGGAAACACGCTTTTTGTAGAATCTGCAAGTTGATATTTGGATAGCTTTGTGGATTTCGTTGGAAACGGGAGAATCTTCATAGAAAACCTAGACAGAAACATTCTCAGAAACTGCTTTGTGATATCTGCATTCACGTCACAGAGTTGAACATTCCCTTTCATAGAGCAGGTTTGAAACAGTCTTTCTATAGTATCTGAATGTGGACACTTGGAGCGCTTGGACGCTTACGGTGAGAAAGGAAATATCTTCCCATAAAAACTAGACAGAAGCATTCTCACAAACTGGTTTGTGATGTGTGTCCTCAACTAACAAAGTTGAACATTTCTCTTTACAGAGCAGTTTTGAAAGACTCTTTTTGGAGAATCTGCCAGTGGATATTTGGGAGCTTTAGGGATTTCATTGGAAACCGGAATATCTTCAGGTAAAATCTAGACAGAGGCATTCTCAGAAACTTCTTTGTGATGTGTGTCCTCAACTAACAGAGTACAACCTGTCTTTTGATACAGCAGTTTGGAAACACTCGTTTTGTAGCATCTGCAAGTGGCTATTTAGATAGCTCTAAAGACTTCCTTGGAAACGGGATTACCTTCATATTAAATCCAGACATTGGCACTCTCAGAAACTGCTTTTTGGTATCTGCATTGAAGTCAGAGAGTTGAACATTTCCTTTCGTAAAGCAGCTTTGAAACACTCTTTTTGTAGTATCCGGAAGTGGACATTTGGAGCGCTTTGACGCCTTTGGTGAAAAAGGTAATGTCTTCCCGTCAAAACTAGACCGAAGCATTCTAAGAAACTTCTTTGGGATAGATGTACTCAACTAACACAGTTGAACCTTTCTCTTTATAGATCAGTTTGGAAAAGCTCTTTTTGTGGAATCTGCAAATGGATATTAGGATAGCTCTGAGGATTTCATTGGAGACGGGATTACATATAAAAAGTAGACAGCAGCATTCTCAGGAGCTTCTTTGTGATGTTTGCTTTTAAGTTACAGAGTTGAATATTCCTTTCCATAGAGCAGGTTTGAAACACTCTTTCTGTAGTATCTGGAAGTGGACACTTCGAGCGATTTCAGCCCTTTGAGGAAAAAGGAAATATCTTCCCATAAAAACTAGACAGAAGCATTCTCAGAAACTTCTTTGTGATGCGGGTCCTGAACTAACAGAGTTCAACCATTCTTATGATACAGCAGCTTGGAAACACTCTTTTTATAGAATTTGCAACTGGATATATGGATAGCTCTAACTATTTCGTTGGAAACGGAAATATCTTCATATAAAATCTAGACAGAAGCACTCTGAGAATCTACTTTGTGATATCTGCATTCATATCACAGAGTTGAATATTCCCTTTCTAAGAGCGGGTTTGAAACCGTCTTTCTGTGGAATCTGCGGTAGGATATTTGGATGGCTTTGAGGATTTCGTTGGAAACGGGATTACACATACAAATTAGACAGCAGCATTCTCAGAAGCTTCTTTGTGATGTTTGCTTTTAAGTACACAGTTGAAGACTGAGTTTCATAGGGCAGGTTTCAAACACTCTCTCTGTAGTATCTGGAAGTGGACATTTCGAGCACTTTCTGGCCTATGGTGAACAAGGAAATATCTTCCCATGCAAACTAGACAGAAGCATTCGCAGAAACTTGTTTGTGATGTGTGTCCTCAACTCACAGAGTTGAACATTTCGTTTGACAGAGCAGTTTGGAAACTCGCTTTTTGTAGAATCTGCAAGTGGATATTTGGATAGCTTTGTGGATTTCGTTGGAAAGGGGAGTATCTTCATGGAAAAACTAGACAGAAACATTCTCAGAAACTGCTTCGTGATACCTGCATTCAAGTCACAGAGTTGAACATTTCCTTTCTTAAAGCAGGTTTGAAACACTCTTTTTGTAGTATCTGGAACTGGAAATTTGGAGCGCTTTGATGCCTTTGGTGTAAAAGGATATGTCTTCCCATCAAAACTAGACCGAAACATTCTAAGAAACTTCTTTGGGATACATGTACTGAACTGACAGAGTTGAACCTATCTCTTTATAGATCAGTTTTGAAAAGCTCTTTTTGTGGAATCTGCAAATGGATATTAGGATAGCTCTGAGGATTTCGTTGGAGACGGCATTACATATAAAAAGTAGACAGCAGCATTCTCAGGAGCTTCTTTGTGATGTTTCCTTTTAAGTCACAGAGTTGAATATTCCCTTCCATAGGCAGGTTTGAAACTCTCTTTCTGTAGTATTTGGAAGAGGACATTTCGAGCGATTTCAGGCCTATGTGGAAAAAGGAAATATCTTCCCATAAAAACTAGACTGTCCTCAATAAAATGCTGGCAAACCGAATCCAGCAGCACATCAAAAAACTTATCCACCATGATCAAGTGGGCTTCATCCCTGGGATGCAAGGCTGGTTCAATATACGCAAATCAATAAATGTAATCCAGTATATAAACAGAGCCAAAGACAAAAACCACATGATTATCTCAATAGATGCAGAAAAAGCCTTTGACAAAATTCAACAACCCTTCATGCTAAAAACTCTCAATAAATTAGGTATTGATGGGACGTATCTCAAAATAATAAGAGCTATCTATGACAAACCCACAGCCAATATCATACTGAATGGGCAAAAACTGGAAGCATTCCCTTTGAAAACTGGCACAAGACAGGGATGCCCTCTCTCACCGCTCCTATTCAACATAGTGTTGGAAGTTCTGGCCAGGGCAATCAGGCAGGAGAAGGAAATAAATGGTATTCAATTAGGAAAAGAGGAATTCAAATTGTCCCTGTTTGCAGACGACATGATTGTTTATCTAGAAAACCCCATCGTCTCAGCCCAAAATCTCCTTAAGCTGATAAGCAACTTCAGCAAAGTCTCAGGATACAAAATCAATGTACAAAAATCACAAGCATTCTTATACACCAACAACAGACAAACAGAGAGCCAAATCATGGGTGAGCTCCCATTCACAATTGCTTCAAAGAGAATAAAATACCTAGGAATCCAACTTACAAGGGATGTGAAGGACCTCTTCAAGGAAAACTACAAACCACTGTTCAAGGAAATAAAAGAGGACACAAACAAATGGAAGAACATTCCATGCTCATGGGTAGGAAGAATCAATATCATGAAAATGGCCATACTGCCCAAGGTAATTTACAGATTCAATGCCATCCCCATCAAGCTACCAACGACTTTCTTCACAGAATTGGAAAAAACTACTTTAAAGTTCATATGGAACCAAAAAAGAGCCCGCATCGCCAAGTCAATCCTAAGCCAAAAGAACAAAGCTGGAGGCATCACACTACCTGACTTCAAACTATACTACAAGGCTACAGTAACCGAAACAGCATGGTACTGGTACCAAAACAGAGATATAGATCAATGGAACAGAACAGAGCCCTCAGAAATAATGCCGCATATCTACAACTATCTGATCTTTGACAAACCTGAGAAAAACAAGCAATGGGGAAAGGATTCCCTATTTAATAAATGGTGCTGGGAAAACTGGCTAGCCATATGTAGAAAGCTGAAACTGGATCCCTTCCTTACACCTTATACAAAAATCAATTCAAGATGGATTAAAGATTTAAACGTTAAACCTAAAACAATAAAAACCCTAGAAGAAAACCTAGGCATTACCATTCAGGACATAGGCGTGGGCAAGGACTTCATGTCCAAAACACCAAAAGCAATGGCAACAAAAGACAAAATTGACAAATGGGATCTAATTAAACTAAAGAGCTTCTGCACAGCAAAAGAAACTACCAGCAGAGTGAACAGGCAACCTACAACATGGGAGAAAATTTTCACAACCTACTCATCTGACAAAGGGCTAATATCCAGAATCTACAATGAACTCAAACAAATTTACAAGAAAAAAACAAACAACCTCATCAAAAAGTGGGCGAAGGACATGAACAGACACTTCTCAAAAGAAGACATTTATGCA
>NC_000018.10:20561539-20564714 GCF_000001405.40 Homo sapiens | reverse complement strand
CACAGAGTTGAACATTCCTTTTATTAGAGCAGGTTTGAAACACTCATTGTATTATCTGGAAGTGGACATTTGGAGCGCTTTGACGCCTTTGGTGAAAAAGGAAATATCTTCCCATAAAAACCAGACAGAAGCATTCTCAGAAACTTCTTTGTGATGTGTGTCCTCAACTAACAGAGTTCAACCTCTCTTATGATACAGAAGTTTGGAAATACTCTTTTTGTAGAATATGCAAGGGGATATTTGGATAGCTCGAAGTATTTCGTTGGAAACGGGAATATCTTCATATAAAATCTAGACAGAAGCACTCTCAGGAACTACTTTGTGATATCTGCATTCAAGTCACAGAGTTGAATATTCCCTTTCTTAGAGCAGGTTTGAAACCTTCTTTTCTTAGAATCTGCAGGTGGATATTTGGATAGCTTTCAGGATTTCGTTGCAAACGGGATTACACATACAAAGTAGACAGTAGCATTCTCAGAAGCTTCTCTGTGATGTTTGCTTTTAAGTCACAGAGTTGAACATTCCCTTTCATAGAGCAGGTTTGAAACACTCTTTCTGTAGTATCTGGAAGTGGACATTTCGAGCGCTTTCAGGCCTATGGTGAAAAAGGAAATATCTTCCCATAAAAACTAGACAGAAGCATTCTCAGAAACTTATTTGTGATGTGTGTCCTCAACTAACAGAGTTGAACCTTTCTTTTGATACAGGAGTTTGGAAACACTCTTTTTGTAGAATCTGCAAGTGGATATTTGGATAACTTTGAAGATTTCGTTGGAAACGGGAATATCTTCATGTAAAATCGAGACAGAAGCATTCTCAGAAACTGCTTTGTGATGTCTGCATTCACATCACAGAGTTGAACATTCGCTTTCATAGAGCAGGTTTGAAACACTCTTTCTGTAGTATCTGGATGTGGACACTTGGAGCGCTTTGACGCTTACGGTGCAAAAGGAAATATCTTCCCATAAAAACTAGACAGAAGCATTCTCACAAACTGGTTTGTGATGTATGTCCTCAACTAACAGAGTTGAACCTTTCTATTTACAGAGCACTTTTGAAAGACTCAATTGGAGAATCTGCAAGTGGATATTTGGATAACTTTGAAGATTTCGTTGGAAACGGGAATATCTTCATGTAAAATCGAGACAGAAGCATTCTCAGAAACTGCTTTGTGATGTCTGCATTCACGTCACAGAGTTGAACATTCGCTTTCATAGAGCAGGTTTGAAACACTCTTTCTGTAGTATCTGGATGTGGACACTTGGAGCGCTTTGATGCTTACGGTGCAAAAGGAAATATCTTTCCATAAAAACTAGACAGAAGCATTCTCACAAACTCGTTTGTGATGTATGTCTTCAACTAACAGAGTTGAACATTTCTATTTACAGAGTAGTTCTGAAAGACTCAGTTGGAGAATCTGCAAGTTGATATTTGGAAAGCTTTAAGGGTTTCATTGGAAACAGGAATATCTTCAGGTAAAATCTAGATAGGGGCATTCTCACAAAATGCTTTGTGATGTGTGTCCTCAAGTAACAGAGTACAACCTGTCTTTTGATACTGCAGTTTGGAAACACTCTTTCTGTAGAATCTGCAAGTGGATATTTGGATAGCTCAAGTTATTTCGTTGGAAACGGGAATAGCATCATATAAACCCTAGACAGAAGCACTCTCAGAAACTACTTTGTGATATCTGTATTCAAGTCACAGAGTTCAATATTCCCTTTCTTAGAGCAGGTTTGAAACCGTCTTTTCGTGGAATCTGCAGGATGATATTTGGATAGCTTTGAGGATTTCGTTGGAAACGGGATTACATATACAAAGTAGACAGCAGCATTCTCAGAAGCTGCTTTGTGATGTTTGCTTTTAAGTCACAGAGTTGAACATTCCCTTTCATAGAGCAGGATTCAAACACTCTTTCTGTAGTATCTGGAAGTGGACATTTCGAGGGCTTTCAGGCCTATGGTGAAAAAGGAAATATCTTCCCATAAAAAATAGACAGAAGCATTCTCAGAAACTTATTTGTGATGTATGTCCTCAACTAACAGAGTTGAACCTTTCTTTTGATACAGCAGTTTGGAAACACCTTTTATGTAGAATCTGCAAGTGGATATTTGGATAACTTTGGAGATTTCATTGGAAACGGGAATATCTTCATGTAATATCGAGACAGAAGCATTCTCAGAAACTGCTTTGTGATGTCTGCATTCACGTCACAGAGTTGAACATTCGCTTTCATAGAGCAGGTTTGAAACACTCTATTTTTAGTATATGGTAGTGGACATTTGGAGCGTTTTCAGGCCTGCGTTGGAAAAGGAAATATCTTCCCATAACAACTAGACAGAAGCCTTCTCAGAAACTAGTTTCTGATGTGTGTCCTCAACTAACACAGTTGAACATTTCTTTTGACAGAACAGTTTTGAAACACTCTTTTTGTGGAATCTGCAAGTGGATATTTGGCTACATTTGAGGATTTCGTTGGAAACGGGATTACATATAAAAAGCAGACAGCACCATTCTCAGAAACTTCTTTGTGATGATTGCATTCAAGTCACAGAATTGAACATTCCCTTTCACAGACCAGGTTTGAAACACTCTTTTGCAGTGTCTGTAAGTGGACATTTGGAGCGCTTTCTGGCCTAAGGTGAAAAAGGAAATATCTTCCCATAAAAACTAGACAGAAGCATTCTCAGAAACTTACTCGTGATGTGTGTCCTCAACCAAAGGAGTAGAACCTTTCTTTTCATAGAGAAGTTTTGAAACGCTCTTTTTGTGGAATCTGCAAGTGGATATTTGGCTAGTTTTGAGGATTT
The DNA here is from genome assembly GCF_000001405.40 of Homo sapiens. Taxonomy (NCBI): domain Eukaryota; kingdom Metazoa; phylum Chordata; class Mammalia; order Primates; family Hominidae; genus Homo; species Homo sapiens. The sequence goes on along the minus strand of NC_000018.10, from coordinate 20,561,904 downwards.
CGTTGGAAGCGGGATTTCATAGAAATTGAAGACTGCAGCGTTCTGAGAAATATCTTTGTGATGTTTGTATTCAGGACACAGAGTTGAACATTCCCTATCATAAAGCAGGTTTGAATCACTCCTTTTGTCGTATCTGGAAGTGGACATTTGGAGCGATTTCAGGCCTATGTTGAAAAAGGAAATATCTTCCCATAACAACTGGACAGAAGCATTCTCAGAAACTACTTTGTGATGTGTGCCCTCTACTGACAGAGTTGAACCTTTCTTTTCATAGAGCAGTTTCGAAACACTCTTTTTCTAGAATCTGCAAGAGGATATTTGCATAGCTTTTAGGATTTCTTGGAAACGGGATTGTCTTCAGATAA